>NC_000015.10:88259459-88410975 GCF_000001405.40 Homo sapiens
CCAGTAGCATCCATATCACCTGGAAGCTTGCAAGAAGTGCAGCATCTGAGGCCCCATCACAGACCTCCCAAACCAGAATGTCCATCAGAACAAGCTCCCAGGTGATTCATAAGCACATCGCAGCCCCATAGTCATCCCTCCCAGCTTGAAGATTCTCTGATTCTACATGGATCTGGGCCAAAGGGACTGTTGAGGGAGAAAAAAAAAAAAAAGGTGGGGAATGATGGGGATGGGTCCTCATAATGTTATTCAGTTACAGTGAAGTTAGGGTGAAATAAACTGGGTATCTCAGAGGCAGGGGCCTTGTCAGAAAAAGACATTTGAAGTTTCATTCTAAGCTTAAGAAGATGAGAATGACCTGCTCATGCACTGCTCACAGAAATCATAGTGCAGGGTCAATAATAGTGCACACTCAGAGTTTGCTAGTTCTTAACCTCTGCAGTAGGCCAAATTTAAATGTGGGAGCAGAAGAAAGTCTCCAGCGTAGACACCCTCCCCTCAGTAAGAGTCCAGAGCATTTACAGTGTCTCACCTCTTGATAAGAATGTCCTGGTTGAAAAGGAAAAATGCCTGTCGCTTCATGGAGTCCTGGAGATATCATGACCAAGCTCAGCATCCAGCCAACCAGGGGTCACCCCCCAACCTCCTCATCTCCTTTGCTACCAGCTGGAGTCTTAGAAAGGAGGAAACTCACCCGTGTGCCCCTTGCTGATCAATAAGAGGCAGGAATAGGCAAAGTTTTTTGTTTTGTTTTGTTTTTTGAACAGAAAGTAAAGCTTTAGAAACCCTTTACAGGCGAGCAGACACCTTCCAGTACCAAGGGTTTGGAGAAGACAGAAATGTTCCCAAGATTCGAATGCAATCTTTCACCAGACAGGTCAGAGTGGGGACCACTTGCTGGAGCACAGTGGCCCAACTCCCCTGACACCTAGAGAAATTGAACACGTGTCTTTCTTAAAAGGCATGTTCCAGGCGTGCAAGCACCTGAGATTAATATCAACTGTTTATGGGAGATTTCCAGCAGCCCACATTCCCCTCCACCTAGCAAGGGAGAAAGGGAGTGGAAACTCAGAGCAGAGCCCTGCCAGTCTATTGGTCACCTGTCTGCCTTTCTAACCCAGCCACATCCCTTTTTCCAAAGGACCCATACTCCTGAGTCAGTGGCCACATTACCGGGATGTAGGCCACACACCAGGCAGGTCCATGGATTCACCCACCATGCCCTGCTCCTATGGTGTCATTCTGAATCCAAGAGCTGTGCTTCACAACTTTCAAGTTTGAGCAGAAATAGGATCTACTTCTGCAAGTCTCAGCTGGTCAAGAAACTGTGATACTGGGAGGTGACTGGGGAGCACAGCGGGCTACAAAGGGAATACTAGGTCCTGAAGGACTTGCTGTTCTAAAAGAGCTATCTGGAGCTGGCAGATCTGGGCTTGGGCTAGAGGAGGAGTTCTGTTTCTTGGGTGGCCCAAGCATAAGTTACAAGGGAAAGAGACAGGTCTGGGCCTGGTTGGAGGCTGGGGATGTATAATGCTATCCAGAAGCTCTGGGTCCAAGGAAAGAATTTTGACCATACATGGAAGATGAAAGCCCACCCACAAAAGGGGACAGTCAAGCACCAAAGTGGTCCAGGAAAGCAGAAGAATTCAACCATGGAAGAGCCAGCTCAGGGCTCCCACTCAAGTCCCAATATCTTGGACAAACACCTGCCAGGAGGTTGGGACTACCTGCTGGTGGTGTCCTGCTTGAACACCTTCAGTGGCAGGAAGCTCATTACCAGCCACTCCAGAGCCTTCGACTCTGTTCTCAGACAGCTCCATTCCTTGGGTATCCTTGACTTTGACATAGCGAAGCCAGCACCCTAAAGCTGCCACCCTCGTGCTAGTGCTGCCACCTAGACCCTCAGGGAAAAGTCTCACCTCTTTTCTGCAAGCCACCCAGGAGGCTACTCACTGCCCCTCTCTTCTCTGAGCAAAGCCTCAGTTCCTTCCCTATACTCCAAAAGCACAGCTTTCTGATCTTTCCCCACTACAGCTATTGGAAATGCATTCGGTTTGTCAAAGTGATCGGTTTAAATAAAGCATGGCTCCAGATCACACCGGCTTGAGGTGCTCTGACCTTGGGGAGCCAGGCGGTAAGCAGCTGTAATGGGACTAAAATGGTGTCATGTAGGGTTTACTACCCGCTAGTATCGAACCCTAGCAATGTACTTAAGGCTCTCCGCCTCAGTTTCCCCTTCTGCAAAATAGGATCTAACTCACAAGGTTGTCATGAGATAACACAGTAAGGCACTTTGAATAGTGCCTGGTGCACATAAGCATGGTATGTCAACTTTATTATGCCACTTTTGAGGTTCCCAGAGGGCTTTACCACCCAGCAGGGAGGCCCCAGCAGCCTTTATCCACTAACAGCCAAACACAATGCCGCCATGAAGCTCTTCCCACACACATTGCAGCACCCCCTGGCAAGTTGGTGCAATGGGTCGGGTGCAGCCACCGCCCACAGATACTCTCTGGCTCTGGTCCTAGACCCCAAAGTGGTGTGCTGCCAGAGAGGGTTCAGTGAATCTCGGGTCCCTGGGGAAGAAAGTACAGAGCGCAGGCCCAGGTACATCTCCCCTGAGATGCAACTCCTCAGCCCCGGAGCCCCTCGCTGCTGGTTCTCATGCCTTTGAGTTGCTCCTTCTGGGCTTTGGTCCCTTCCATAGGAAGGTAGACCCTGCTGAGTCACCACCGGCTCTGAGCAGTTGAGTTGGGCTGGGAATTTAATGCCGCACGTCCTAGGTCCTGCAGAGGCAGTGACTCACAAGGCCTCCCTGGCCTCTGAGTGTCCTGGTGGGGGCCCTGCAGGAGCAGATGCTAGAGCCCTTCCTTAGACAGCAGGATCCAGGGCAGGCAGCTGACTTCCTGCCAGCAGGTGAGCACTGCAGGCAGGTTAGGGGAGCCAGGGAAGAGGGATTCCCACTCCATGAGCCAACTTCCCCCAAGGTATGAAATCAGGAGTCAAGAGTCAGGACTCACACTTTTAGGAAGCCAGAAACCTGCAGGTGGTTGGCAGAGGCTAGTGCAGCACCACTGACAGGGACTGAGGGGAATGGAGAGGCTGGAGAATTGCACCTCCACACCCACCCTCCATTATAGACATAGCCCTCACGTGCCTTCCTAGATGAGCTCTCTCGGAGTAACTTACATTGTGCCTTCCTCTGCACAATACCCAGCCATTTGCCTATTTACTGATGAGAGAGCAGCCAGGGATCATCTCAGAGGGCAGCCGGGGATAATGGCCTTCATTTGGCAGATGAAGCAACTAAGATTGACAGGGTGGGGCAGAGAAGTCTGGGCACCTTCCTGACTTGCAAGGAGATATTCCTGTTACCAGGTTTTAAAATGTAACTTCCTTGAGGGCACAGACCTTGCTTATTTTATCTACTGATTTGCCAGCCCCGTAAACGGCATTGAGAACACAGAGGGGCTCTCTAGGTGGTTGTTGAATGAATGGCTGCCCCCAGCACACCTTGCCCTTTTGTACCACTCCACACACATGGAAGTAAGGGTTCAGTGTCTGCCTCCCCCTGGGCTGCAGGGACCAAGAGGGCCAGGAGCTGTCAGTGTTGTTCACTACATACCCCCCAGGGCCTACTTTGGTGCTAGCCCAAAAATGGACACCACATATTTTGGGGGAAGATTAAATGAATTATTTTGCTGCCTGAAACCCCATGTGTGTCCACAAGAGAAGTTTGGGACTTAACAGAAGTGAGGTGCTTTGAGCTGACCACTTCCTCTGTATCCCCAGAGTTATATGTGCCGCCACACACTTCTCCCCAACAAGGCAAATATCAAGGGGTTTCTAGAAGCAGAAAGATTAGCAGCTCCTGTTTTCAAGAGAAGGTTGGGAACAGCAATGTCCTACCACCTGGGCCTTTGGCAGCCTCCTCCCACTGAGTCTAGGGAAGAGCCCAGGTCCAGCAGCCCCATTACTGTGGCCTCTGCCCTGCAGAAAGCCAAAGAAAGACTTCTTCTGGGTTAGACATTCCCCCTTCGTTCCTCCCCATCTCCTAGGGCCCCCACTGTATCCTATTGCCCTTCTTGGTCAACCCAGCCCACTCCTGCTCGGCTCCCAGGCTCCCGCCTCTGCCTCACCACCTCCCACGGTTGCCCTTCTCTCCACCTGCTCCTCACCAAAGCAGCCCATGCCACACCTTCCAGCTGCCCTGGCCCTGAGCCTCTGGCTCAGATTATAGGACTATGGCTTTCAGACCCATCTTTGTACTAATGCATTCATTTAGCATCAAAGCATATTGGGCTGCATCACCTTGGGCATGCTACTGTCCTTCTCTTATCCTCCACTTCCTTCTCTGTCACGTGGGGATCCAATGATGCCAAGGACCAAGCAAGATAATGCACCTGAAAACACCTTGTGGACATTAACACTCACAAATGACAGCCACTGGTTTCCACTAAGAGTAGCGGACACCAGTACCTTTGCACACTTGATTAGCACTTCACCTCTGACCTGCCTGCATTTATCAACAACCAGATGATCTCAGAGTTGAGGAAAGCCAAGACAACAGCTTCCATTTACACCATGCATTACACTCTCGCCTCCAAGGGGCAGCTTTATGAAGTGTGAGTTTTAGCCCCAGGCAAATCTGGTTTGAACCCCAGCTCCAGCACTTTCTAGCTGGTGACCTGGGCTTATCATTTCACCTAGCAGAGCCTCATCCTCCTCTCCTGAAGGGCACTGCTCATGGATATTTCCCTTGCAATGCAGTTTGGAGAAGGCAATCATAAAACGTGCATAATGTGCCTAGCCCAGGATTTGATACATAGGAGTTCTCCCTTCCCTTATTTTTTCTTTCTACTATTCTTCCTTAGGGGGCCCGCTCCATACCAGATGGTTCGGCCTCCCTATTAGGGTGCTCACAACTCCACCCTCCTTGCTTGCTAGAAACTATCCTGGCTTCTGTTTCTTTAAACAGAACAGAACTCCAGGAGCATAGAGGGCCAAAGAG
The DNA here is from genome assembly GCF_000001405.40 of Homo sapiens. NCBI lineage: Eukaryota > Metazoa > Chordata > Mammalia > Primates > Hominidae > Homo > Homo sapiens. The sequence goes on from NC_000015.10 coordinate 88,264,471, forward strand.
GTGATGCCCCAAACTCCTCAGGCCCAGAGAGGAGGAGACCAGATATTTGCCAGATACCTGGGACTCAAAACAAGAAATCACCAGATCAGCTCCAATTTCTTCTGGCACTGATTACTGAGAACAGCACACACACAACACACATTTAAGTAGGTATCAAGAGCAAATGGAAAACCAAAATTTAAAAAAAAAAGTGTTGTCTTATTTGCTGAGACACCAGTGTGGGAATTTGGGGGAAGCGATGCGTTGTGGGGAAGGGCATGGGAAGCCATGCTTGCCTTTGGAACTAAGAGATAGTTCCCTCCCACAGACTTTCTGCTGCGTCCTCCACCCCCTCCCCAGCCCACAGCACCAGCTGCACTGCCTGGGAACTGAGGGAACAGAAAGCCCAGCCCAGGGAGTTCTGGGATGGGGGTGGGAAAGGGAATGAAGGTGGCAGTGGGGGAAGGTGCAAACCAGCCCTGACAAAAGCTCAGGTCGGATGCTCAAAGCTGTGGGGTGAATGTGAGGCATGGGGAAGGGGTCCTAGAAACTCAGCCTGGAAGCACACCTGGAAGGCACCATGAGTTCATCCAACTGCTGGAAGCCAGATGACCCTCAAAGCACTGCGGACACTTGGAGTTCCCCTTGAACACCCTCTTCCTAGTGTCAAGTTCTAGAACTTCCCTCCAAGAAAGAGAGCCCAGGAGTCCAACCCCATGGATGGATGGCAGTGACATTTTCCCACTGTGCATGTGCCCTATGACAGACCTCTCCCCAGTGTTTCCCAGTGACAAGCCCCACACTCCCCTTGCCCAGCCTCATGCTGGAACGAACAAGGAGATGTCCATAGAACTGTGGTGTGAAGGATCTAACCTCTTTCCAGAAGAGTTTATGGTTGCCCCAGGGCTCAGTGTCCCTGACAGATTTAAATGTAGCAGAAGCCATCCAGAGGCCACACCCACATACCAAAAGGGAAGCATCCCCTGGACCAAAGAAAGCCATCTCTTACGATCGTGGGGCCCCAGAGATGAAGATGGGCAGAATGATGGTGATGATGATGATAATAACTTCAACCGCAACGTATTGACTGTTTTCTGTGTGTGACATTTTTCTATAGCCTTCACGTGTGTCATTTCATTGAATCCTCACAAATACTTGGTTTTACAGTTGAGAAATAGAATCAGAGAGGTTAAATCACATGTCCAAGGTCACCCAACTGGTACGTGGAATAAGCCAGGTTTTAAACCCTGGTCTCCTAAACACAGCATGGAACCAGGTGCCACTTTTTACACTAAATTGTCCCTAGTGAGGCAATGAGGAAAGGGGAGACTGCCACCTCTGCAGGGGACTTGGTGAGGTGCACTTCTGCCCCTCTGCATCCCCACACCCCTTTGCCAGGGTTTCCCTGGTTTTGAGACCGAAGGAAGGAGGGAGGACCCCAGCGGTGACCATCCAAGCCCTCATTAGCCATAGCCCTAGACCATCCTGGGCTAGGGCTAATGAGGGCTTCAGCAGGGAGCACAATATTTAGTCTATGACCTGTCCTGTGGCAGGACAGGTTTTATCTAACACTCAAATAGCTCCTTCCCAAAAGATCAATGGGCCAACTTTCTCCCAAAAAGGACAGGGATTCTAGAGTTAGGCCCTTGGCACAGTGGACACAATGAATGTCCTACCCAAGCATCTGTAATCAACAAATCAATAATTAAGGGAGGATGCACATTAACCTTTGAACAGGTTCCAGAGAGTTTATTTTTGATCTTAAACAGGGTGAACAAGTGTGTGCTCCAAGCCTGGGGAAGGCTGTGGGCAGCGACAGAGAGATGGGGAGTGGGCTCGGGGATGGGTGTGTGAACTCACCACATGTGGTCCCCAGGGGCATGTGCTGAGGGTGGCAGGAACCTCCAGCCTGCGAGGGGGTCTTCAGGGGCTGGACAGTGCAGGTGAGCACGGGGAGCAGGTGGCGGGGGGCGGGTGGGCTTTACTCGTGGGTGGGGTGCGGTGGGGTGTGGGTGAGGGGCACTCCCAATGGGCTGGGTATGCACATGTGGATGCAGGTCGGAGAGAGAGGTGGGAGCCAGAGGGGTGTGTGGGGAGGTTGCGTGTGTGGTGAGGGCAACTGCAGAGGCTGGGGGCAAAAGAAGGTGCTTAATGAAGGATGCTGATGGCAGGATCCTCATTCCCTTGTGCCAGATTGAATTAGAAGCCATACTTTTAATCTGTAAACTCTCTGATGCAAAGATGACAGAATAGAACTTTGTAAATATCACCGCACTTCCTGACCCCCACTCTTCTCTTCTGTCCCTCCCTGCCCTCATGGGCTGACCACAGAAGCCAGCTCACTTTGCTTTCAACTTCCAAGTCCACTGAAAGTTTCCAGTCCCGGGATTTTAGGAAGAAGAAAGAAGATACTAGACATTTCTGTGAGTTCAGTTTATCATTAACCCCAACTCCCTCACACATACCAAAAATAATAGCAATAATAATATCACTGATTTTATAATTATAAAATCATAATCTTTGAAAAGGCCTTAGAGATTAACCATTCCTGTGTTCCTCACATTTTCCCAACTAGAATTCCCAAACTTGGAGGAGAGAGAGCAGGGAGGGAGGGGATGAGGGGGAAGGGGGTGGAAGATTTGTGCCATGTTTGTTATTCCTGTGCCTTTGAAGACCCTGGGGTATTGCCACAGTCACAAAAGCCTCATGGAAACTTACCAATTTGGGAAACACCACATTTAGTACAATCCCCTGTCCCTGCTATTTTATAGGTAGACAAATTAGGCCCAAGATAACTAAGTTATGTCCCCAAAGCTGCATAGTTAGTTAGGACTACAGCCAAAGGCTTCTACTCCGAGGCATCCATTCTGCCCATTCAAAAAAATGAAAGAAAGAAAGAAAGAAAGAAAGAAAGAAAGAAAGAAAGAAAGAAAGAAAGAAGGAAGGAAGGAAGGAAGGAAGGAAGGAAGGAAGGAAGGGAAGGAAAGGAAGAAAGAAAGAAAGAAAGAAAAAGAAAGAAAGAAAGAAAGAAAGAAAGAAAGAAAGAAAGAAAGAAAGAAAGACAGACAGACAGAAAGAAAGAAAGAAAGAAAGACGGAAGGAAGGAAGGAAGGAAGGAAGGAAGGAAGGAAGGAAGGAAGGAAAGAAGGAAGGAAGGGAAGGAAAGGAAGAAAGAAAGAAAGAAAGAGAAAGAGAAAGAAAGAAAGAAAGAAAGAAAGAAAGAAAGAAAGACAGACAGACAGACAGAAAGAAAGAAAGAAAGAAAGAAAGAAAGAAAGAAAGAAAGAAAGAAAGAAAGACAAGTAACAGATTCTGGCTAGAGGTCTGAGAACCTCATGTCCCAAATGCTGCTGGCCCCTCCTGGACCACACACCTCTCTCTCAAGTGGAAAGCTACCCTTTTTTTTTCTTTTTTCAGCACAACAGCATTTTATGACACATTTTTATGACATCAGCTCTTTAAGCATCTCTCTCCAAGGAACACAAAATTCTCCAACATAACCTCACCCAGGCCTTACAACAGTCCCCCAGAATCCAGCAGAGTACAGCAATTTTTGGTGTTTATTGGATACCTATTTTTCCTGCCTCGTTTCCGAAATGGATTTACAGGCAAATATAATGACCTCTCCATCGTACAGGTAGGAGTAACATAGGAACGCGACTTTCTCATGGTCACATGATACATTTTGGCCAGTGAAGTAGATGAGACCGCCTATTGTATCATCTAAAGGAGATCAGGGTTTAGCCATGTGGCCTCGCTGAATGACTCTATCAGCTTCTGCTCAGTTACCTTCCCTTGCCTGAAGTAGGAGACAGTGAAGTGGGGTTAAACTGGGGTGATCAGGGGCTGGATGGGTGAAGGCTCTGAGTGCCTCCTGCTGAGCTCAGGCCCACAGGCTTGAAGAGCTTCTAAAAATACCAGGCACGTTTCTTGCAGGGGGGCTGATTTAGCTGACCTTTCCTAAAGAGGACCGATTTGCCTGCTTCTGCCGCCTGCTTCTCTCCAGCTGACTCTTGGGCTGAACTGAGGCAGGATAGGAATATCCTCTCAGTCCCTGCATCCCTTACCCCAGATGGATCCAGTGGAAATGAAAAAAAAAAAAAAAAGGTCTAGAGCATCCCAGAGCATTTAACAAGGGCAAGCCATGGGCGAGGCAAGAGACATCGAATTGGTCATTAGATTGGTCTCTGGTCTCAAGTAGCTCATGGTCTGTCGGCTCTGTTAGGGAAAACAGCAGAATATCATCTGTGACACGTGGCAAATGGCAGGGGCCAGGTGTCGGTGGGCAGTGAGCGCATAGAGAAGTTCATTTTCTTTTTCTTTCTTTCTTTTTTTTTTTTTTTTTTTTGAGATGGAATCTCTCTCTGTCACCTAGGCTGGAGTACAGTGGCACCATCTCAGCTCAATGCAACTTCTGTCTCCCGGGTTCAAGCGATTCTCCTGCCTTAGCCTGCCGAGTAGCTGGGATTACAGGTGTGTGGCACCACGCCCAGCTAATTTTTGTATTTTTAGTACAGACGGGGTTTCACCATGTTGGCCAGGCCAGTCTCGAACTCCTGACCTCAAGTGATTCACCCACCTCAGCCTCCCAAAGTGCTGGGATTACAGGCGTGAGCCACTGTGCCCAGCCGAGAGGTTCATTTTCATTGGGGAGAGTCAGAGGGGCTACAGCTCTCTTCTTTCATTCATTTTCATTCATACATCTGTTTACTTTCATTGATTCATTTGTTTGTTTGTTGGGTGCCTGTTCTGTGTTTATGAGATCCTGTGGCAGCTGCCTTGGGATTAAGACCCAGATAACCAAGTCTGGTCCTGCTGGGCCTCATTTTCCTCATCTGTAAAATGGCTGTGTTTAAATTGGAGCCCTTCAAAAACTCCTCCCAGCTGAGACACCCAAGCTTTCTAGGTCCTGGCTGCAGTTAAGGGCTCTATTGCTCAAGTCCTGAGGTTCTCTGCTACCTCTCATTCTCTTCACTGATTTTCTGAGAGCTGCTTTTGCTTCTGGCACCCTCCAGTCCCCTAGAAGCAGAAGGACAAGGAGCAACCACCCTTGTTGAAGTCTCTGCCCGAGGCTCCTGGCAGAAGGTTTTCCCTCTTCCATTCCTGGCACACACAGCCCCTGGCAACTGTTGGTCTCATCCTGGCAGCCTGACATTTCAGAGAGAAGATTCTAGGCCCCACTTGTCTGACAGCTTGTGGTTTCTGACCCAGGACTGATGTGGACCAGGAAGGACAGACCCACATGGGAGTGGCAGCGCATGCCGGCCCTTCCTCCTGCAGCTCTGGGGTTGGAACTGACCCCCTCAGCCCCAGCCCATCACCCTCCCTGGCTTTTAGGGAGCTGATCTTCTGCAGACATGCCTGGAGCCTGGTGAGGGCAGGACAACTGTCCACCCAAGGATGGAAATGAATGCTGACAGCTCCTGATTTATGCCCTTGTTATCCTGTAAGGAAGACAGCAAGGCAATTTAAAAGGCCAGCAGCTTTGGGAAGCCCAACAAGGAGCCCCACAGCACCTGGAGCTGCCCACTGTCTCCCCAGCCAACGCTAGCTAGCTGCTTCCTGGAAAGGCCAAGATACCCTCCTCCCATCCCCAGCCTGAAAGGGAGAAGAGGGAAAAGGAAGCACGTCCCTGAGTGCCCACGAGGGTCAGATGCCAGTGGACTCCTCCCCACCCAGTGGCGTCTCTCTCATCATCCATCTTTTGCAGGTGAAGAATCAGACACTTAAAGAGGTTAAGTCGCGTACCTGAAGTTACACTGGGGAGACCAGGAGCAAACTTGCATCTGTCTGACCTCAAAGCCCTGCTTCTAAGCAGCCAGGGAGCAGTGGGATCCAGTGCAGAGATGGGGAGGAGGGGCTCTGCCACTCCCAGCCTGGGAATGAAGTGGAGCCAATGGCAAGAGCTTCCCTAGGGCTGGGTCAAACCTCCCTGCTCCAGGCATGAAGAGAAAGGAAAAGGCTGCTCCAGGTGGGGGAAGTCTGGTCCAGCTCCTTGTTAAAGAAGAAACAGGAAAATACAGCAACAGGGGGAAGTCACAGGGGAACTGACATTTTGTCAAAAGATGATGGGTTTCTGGCTCTCTCCTGCTTTCCAACTTTCCCTGGATCCCCACTGCCTACAGGTCTCCACTTTAAGCTCCACCACCCAGCATCCAGCACTGTCCAGGACCCAGCCTCTCCTCCCACTTCAGCTGCTCTGCCACCAGACTGCCCCTTGTGCCCAGCACCTGGGCTCCAGCCCACTTCCAATCTCACCTTTTCCCACTGTTACCCATCTCTATATTTTGGCTCTTCAGCTCCAGCCTGTCAAAACTCTGTCTAGCTTTCAAAGCCCAGGCATCTCACCTCCCTAACAAGCCCCCCAATTTCTCCAAGCAATTTTGCCTCCTGTATGTTCAGAACGGGGCAGCTCAGCAACTATTACAGCATCATTGAGAGCCTTCCATTGGTCTTCCATCCGTCAGAGATGGCCATGCATACTTCTGCCTCTATCCTGAACTCTAGGTTCCTTGAAGCCAGGGCCATATATTTACACAGAGTCCAGTACCTAACAGGCATTCCATCAATGTGTGTTTATCTAGTACACATTGAATTAAACTAGAAAACCAAACCAGAAAATAATGCTTGCTATTCTTTCCCATCCCCTACTTTCCATCCCAGCAGGATATTTCTCTGGGTCCCAGGAAGAAATGTGCCAACGGAGCAGTGTGGTCTTTGGACAGGGTTTTAAATTGAAGGCAGGCAAGGCTAAGTCCACTGTCAGACTGTGTGGCCTTGGGGTTTGTGCTTCTATGGAAGGCCCTTCTTTAAATGGGCTGGAAGAGGTTGCAGCAATGTGGGATCCCATCCATGGTCATTGGGAAACTGGCCTTATGTCCCTGCAGGGCCTTTTCTCAACTTGAAAGGAAGTGAAAATATCTGAGAACAGCACCAGTCAATACGATGACTTTCTTGCCCTAGGAAAAGTCATGCACTGAGCCCAAATACATTTGTTTATCCTGGGAGACTGAAAAGAACCAGACCCAGGCACCTAGAGGCCTCATGAGCACCAGGGTCCTCAGCGATGAGGGGAATGAGAGCTGCTGTCCCTCTGCAGGCTGAGCCTGGGCACACAGCTGCTCCTCCTGTTCCTCCTCTGTCCAGCAATGGACAGCCCAAAGCACCAGGCTCCCCATGTGAGATAAGCAGGGAGAAAATGCCAGGTTAACTTCAAGATTCATTAGAAATTCCAGGGGGAAATGAACAGTTGCCAAGTGAGAAAGGAAAGGGCAAGCCCATTCTAAGTGAGAGGAGATGTTTCCTTTGCTGTGGCGCTCCAAGGGGTGACAAAGAGTGCTGAGATGAAGGGACAGAGCGTCAGTCCTCAATAGCTGCCCCGAGCCATCCTTCAGTGAATCTTTAACTGAGGGCTGACAGGAGGACAGCCACGTCGCAGAGGAAGATAAATGGATGGGGAGTCCAGCTAAGTTAACCAACTGGTCTTGGCTTGCCCAGATCATTCTAGGTTTTAGCATTCAAAGTCCCACATCCCAGGAATCCCCTCCACCCAGGGCAAAGGGGGAAGGTCATCCCCCTAATTCCAGCAAGTGGCTGTTGAAGGTGCTTCATGCTACAGTGTTCAAGGTGAGGCGGGTGGCTCCGAGAGATGGTCCACAGAAAGGATACCTGCCGTACCTGCCATAGGATACCTGGTTAATGTCAGGTTAATTTCAAGATTCATTAGAAGTTCCAGGGGGAAATGAACAGTTGCCAAGTGAGAAAGGAAAGGGCAAACCCATTCCAACTGAGATGAGATGTGCCCTTCGCTGTGGAGCTCCAGGGCAGATGACAAACAGTGCTGAGATGAAGGAATGGAGCATCCTGGGCTTGCAAATCCCGAGGGGAACTCACCCTCTTCAAACATGTCAAGTCTGCTCACCGGGTCATCTGAACACAAGTAGAGTCATTTCAAGATTAATGAATCTTGAAATTAACCCAGCAAGTGCCCATGCTGAGGCTCTGGGAGGTCATCTGACTTACCCAAGATCACACAGCTAGGATTTGAACCCCAAGTCTTTGCAGAGGAGGGAGCAAGAGGAGAGCAGCAGAAGCCTTCGAGCCTGAGCTGCCCCATCTCTGAGAGCCATAAGCACATCAGCTCTGCTACTCCTGGTTCTCTCCCAGAGACTCAAGAGGAGCCAGCTCAATCCACAGCCCCAGGCTCAGCAAGAGGCTTGAGTGCGGCACCACAGGGCCAACAGGAGAGGCAGAGCTGTGAGGCCACAGACCCTTACAGCTACTTGACATTATGGCTAAGCAGTCCCTGAGGAAGCTTAGAGGTGCAGAGAGATAGAGAGAGACTTGCTCTTGGTCTCAGAGGCCCAAAAGGAAACACAGGGGCTTCAAACTCGACCCCCATCCTGGGCTTGCAAATTCCCAGGGGAACTCATCTGCCGCAGACATGTCAAGTCTGCTCACCGAGTCATCTCAACACAAGTAGAATCACTCCTTTGAGTCTCACGTGCCCCATGCCTTGTTTTCTCCAGGGTAATGAGCTCTGGTTCCTTCAATGGTTTCTCTTATGAGCTGGTTTTGAGTCTTCGCCTTGCTGGGCTTGTTCCCTCAGTGTTTGCTTCAGTACATCATATGTATTAAAAGACAGCTCTTCTGGCTCTTCTTAGTTGGGAGATAGCAATAAGGATTGGAAAGAGACAAAGGGGGAAGGAACAGGCATCAGGGTTTCAACACAAACTGATGTTCATTGAATCCTTATAAAGTTCCCTAGAACTGAATGGAACCTTCCAAGAGTGGTTAACCAGAGCCGACTGCAGCTCAGACCCTTATTCTAAACACTCTTGCAACACTAATTTATTGTTGTGGCCCTCCCATTCCATGGCTAACTCGTATCATTAAGAAGCCCTAGAGTCTTCATAACTCTAAAGCCATGCCTCCTAAATCCAGTTGGCTTTTGGGGCAGAACTTTACTTTTATCCCTGTTACACGGTGCCTTGTTGACTCATCCCTCCATCCTTGTCTGTACAGATCTTTAGGGATCCTCAGAATTACCTAACCCTTCCCAATTCCATGTCAGCTGCACATCTGATTAGCCTGCTTATTCTCAATAAAACTGCACATTCTTTAGAGTTTGAGTCTTAGGCAGGGAAAAATAGTTTTAGAGGAACAAACGCCCCCCCCCACCCCCCGCCCCCGCCAACCAGGTTACTTCAATGCTTGTTCATTTCCCTGCCTAGATAACATCCCCTCTCTCTGCACACTGAGCCCAGCAGCCCAGGTCCTGCCCAACAGAGCTCCTTTTTTATTTTCTGACTGGTCAACCCCAAAAGTCCAACCATTTTCCCGAGCTCTGCATGCCTGGAAGCTAAGTCCAAAGTCCCTGAGCTCCAGTGTCCAGGCTATATGTCATTCCTCTTCTTTGTAGATATGGGAAGATTTCTTTGCAGACATGAGGAAGTTTCTTGACTTAGAAAGATGTACCTGGTCCACTGTGGGCATGCAGTGAATGTTCATCAAATGAAAGGAAAATAAGCACCTTCCATATATATGTGTGAAGTTCTGAATTCGGCATTGGCCTCAAGAAGGCTTCAATGTTCATCCTTTCCACTGGGCCATCCCTAAAATCCTTAAGCAGAGGGACTACCTCTGTACTTAAAGATCTCCAAACAGAAAGATAGCACATTCTCTTTACAGCCAGTAGAAACTATTGAGCTCATCTCTCCATTGACTCATTCACTTGCTAACTCATTTATTGAGCACATGCTATGCGCCAGGCCTTGAGTAGGCACTGGGGATACAGAAGTGATTATAAAATGACCTCCAGGAGCTGACAGTCTACTGAGGAAGGCAGCCATGGAAACAGTGCTTCTGTCACGTATAATGTGCCCCCAGTGTGGTGAAGCATTAATAAAACTTGTCATGAGCGCCCACAGGCAAGGGTCAACCCCTGCTTGGAAGAGATGATATTTGGGCAAAGGTGGAAACAAGTGCCTGTAATCCAGTTCCTCCAATCTCCTTGGGGAGGAAAAGGTAAGGTAGGTTCTCTTTTCAACCTGTTTCCAATTCCTAGTGGGGAACAAACCTATAAGGGCCACAAGCCTGAGTGAAGAGAAACTACTGAGTTCTCCCATCCCCTCCAGTGTCCTGAATCAGCGTGCAAGTCTGTGTTTCCTTACATCTCTCCCAAAAGAGCTGGGTGGCAAGCTGAGCCCTTTGCTGCAAGTGAGGGCTGCAGTTTGCACATCCAAGGCCCCAGATGGGCCTTGGCTGGCATCTAGCACCACCTACTGGCCACGGAAGGAAAAGCAAAGGTCCAGCTGCCACCTCTCCCCCAGGGCTCCTGCAGTCACGCCTTGCCTGGATGCTGCATCCCTTCACACCCTGATTATCACCCTGGAGCCCCATCTCGCCACCCAAGGGCAGAGGGCAAACTTCAAAGGTGACACAGACACTCTGAAGGAAACAAGAGGCCACAAAGCCAGCTGGAGCAGGCAGACACAGGGACAGAATCTGTGCCCTGGAGCCTGAGGGGCAGGCTGAGAGGGCGGAGCAGGATGGGGCCTGAGAAAGAGGTCAAAAAGGGACAGCAGCACAGTGAATGACAGTCAGAACCAAGCAGTGGAGACACGGAAGATGCTGGAGGGTTCTATGGAATCTTCCTGGAGAAGGACCTGAGGTCCCAGAAAGGAGTCACATTCCGGCCCCAGCAGGTCAGGTGCTGAGGCTGCCCTCATCCTAGACAATGTCACCCTTCTTGTACCCAGGTGCTTCCAGGCAGCTCCTCCCAGCCCTCTGACCTCCACGAGCGGCACTTGCCCAGGGCTGCTCCCAGCACTGCAGCTGGAGCCAGGACACACCCTTCTTGGTGCCCAGCTCAGCTCCAGCTCGTCTTAGTCGGGAGACAGCCATGAAGACTGGAAAGAGACAAAGGGAGAAGGAACAGAGGTGAGGGTTTCAGCATAAGCTGATATTACATGAATCACATATAGAGTTCCTGATGTAAGATTAAATTGCAATTAAGCATCCTTCAATTTTGAATCACTGGCTCAGGGATTTCTGCTTAAAAGATAGCTTCCTGGGCACTGGCAGAAGCTGACATCCCTGATAGTCCACGCTCCCTCCTTTTTCAGGGGCTACAAACAGGGGCCCATGGAGAAGCACATGGAGCTTCAGGTAAAATTTTGGGCTTTGGAATCAGACACACCAGCTGTTGACTTGGGCGAGTCACTTAACATCTCTGAGCCTTGCGCTCCTCTGAAAAATAAGGATGGCGAAACCACCTCATCGAACTGTTGTAAAGAGTAAGCACACAAACCACTTAGCCCAGTACCTGGAAGATAAGCTCAATAAATATTGGCTAGGAAAAAACAAAAACCAAGACCTTGACGGCTTCGTCGCTGAGCACGCTGCATCCCCTTGCTTGGAATAAATTCTAAGGCATGGCTCAGCAGCCTCCCCCAGCCAGCTCCCAGCCTCCGTGGGTGAGGGAGGAAAGGCGGGGGCAGGGGCCTGTTCTCACCCGGAGAAGATTGCTCTTGGGGTGGGTGATGACTGTGCACCCCACCCACTAGGGAAGGCGCTCAGTGAGTGAACGGAAAAAGCCAGCACCCCTCTCTGCAGCATTCATTATTCAGAACTTCCCACAGCCTGATGCCTGCTATGGGGGTGTGCGAGGAACACCAGCCAAGGCCAGTTTTGCCTTCTCTGCCTGAGAGGTGGACAGCAAGACTAGTGCAGAGACCCAGAAGGAAGTTGGGTCCATCTTCCAAAACCCTGGCTCTCCAAAGCTCCAGGTGATGGGGTTGGCAGGTATTAGAAAGGGAGCTGGGGCTTTCCAAGCATTCAGCCCTAAATTAGTGCTTCTCAAACTTCACTATGCATGAAAACCACCTGGAGGGCTTGTTAAAACACAGATTGCTGGGCCCCATCCCTAGACATGCTGATCCAGAAGGTCTGAAGGGAGGCCCCAGATTCTGCATTTCCAACAGTTCCCAGGTGCTATTGCTGCTGCTGTTGCTGCTGTGGGATTATGTAAATTTAAGTCGATTAAAATTATATTAAATTAGAATTTAAGTACAGTTGCTTGGTTGCACTGGCCACATTTCACAGACTCAGTAGACACATATGGCTAGTGGGTCCACATTGGACAGTGCAAATAGAGAACATTTCTATAGTTGTGGGAAGTTCTATCAAACAGCACTGCTCTAGAAAGTCTACCAGAATGATGGGTTTATCAAGGGCGATGGGCTAGGAGTGAAAGAGAGACTAATGGAAAGCCCCTGGGCTGTTGAAGCTTTGTGGGAGCTTGAAGAACCGGCAGGGGGGTAGGACAGGCCCCTTGAAGACTCTCTGGAAGGATCAGGGTGTGGCAGCCCCAGCTCCTTGCTGACCATGAGAGAGAAACACGAGGCACCATGGGAACACAGAGGAGGGGTATTTTTAAAAACCAGCCCGGGGGAGTCAGTGGAGTTGAGACATAAGCTGGAATCTGAGGGAAGGATGAGTAGGGAACCAGGCCTCCAGTATTTTTTGCTCAACTGCGATCCACTCGCCCACAGGCCTGCAAGTATCCTTGTCACTCAGGACGTGAGCAAGCGGTTGGGTTTTGTTGTGTGAGGCAGGGGCAGCCGTGAAGGACAGAGCCTGTGCCAGGGAAGGAGCCTGAATAATGTGATGTCTGCTCCGAGGAGAAGCATACATCCGAGTTCTGAACAGATGGCCCAGCAAAAGGGGTTAAGTAAAGAGATCGCTGCGAGGAGTCTTGTCACTTGCATTTGAGCGGAGACCTAGGAGGAACAGACTTTTGGTGGGTCCGAAATAGCAAGTGCCAGGGAGGAGAGCAAGCCGCCTTCCCTCCCCCCAACTCCTCCTCCCGCTGCACACACTCCCTCCCCCTGCCCATCTTCTCCCAGAGACAGATAGGGGCTTCTGACAACAGCTTTCCAAGGGAGGGAAGGGAAGCGCCTGTGGGTTCTGCCATGTGTGTCTTTGTCACACAGAAAAACAGTTCCATCCTTGAACACAAAGAAAGCCTCCTGGCGGGGCAAGAAGCTCCCAGTTCACACCCTCCCTACGCTCAGATTTCCAAGGGCTCAAACCTTCCTTCCAAGTATTCAGATCCTGACCCCACACCTTTGCTCTTTCCACCTTTACTTCCATTTGTGCCCTTTCTGTTAGGGGGCCTGCCAAGCAGACTACCCCCTGCCAGTCAGTCTGGGGCACAATGCTAATAGCTACTTGTAGAAAGACCTGGAGGACAGGAGATGCTGGAGCACCTAAGGAGCTCGGGTTTCCTCCGGCAGCCTCCATTCCTCCCTTCCATCCCCTTTGCTTCCTCTCCATTCCCAGGTGCTATTGCCCTTTCTATCTCTTCTTCCCCTCACATCCTTCCCTCTCATTCCTCTTTCTTTGCCTTTCTTTCTTCTTCTCAGATCCCCTGATTCCCAAGAAAGCCAAGTCCATTCCCAAGTTCTAGGTCTAAACTGAGTTTCACACCCCTTCCTCACCCACCTCTCCTCCCAATAAATCCAATAAATTTTAGGACCAATCTTCCCTCTTGTCTCCCCTTCTGGACACAGCCCAAGAACCACTCTGCCTGCCTTTCCCAGTCAACCAGTCTCCTTTCTGAAAGCCTCTGTCTTCCTAAACTTAACTTTCAGCCTCTTCTGACTGCTCATTTCTGACAATCCTTGTAACCAAAATCAATGACTCATTCCAGACTTTTTCTTTTCAGTTTCTCCAGACTCATCATCCCCGATCCCAAGGTGAGTAACCTGGACCCTGGTCTCACCATTCTTCTCCCTGTCGAGAAATCATACCTTTCTCATATATAAAGCTCACTTTTATATCGGATAACTTTTTTGGTCTATAAGGAAGGCAGATTTTATGATGCCTTAAAAACAAAAAAAAATTGTATGTAGCATATGCATGATTGCGAAAGGCAAAAAGAAATCACCCACAGACTCAAATTTAGTACTTTCAACCAACTTCGCCTGGCTGGACTTCCTTCTGGAATATGGTGAAAAAATAGTCACCACCTTGGAACACGAGTAGGGGATGCCATTCGGACAGCGGGAGTAAAAGGGGGCAAGTGTTTCTAAAATCTCCCTGAAAGATCTATTTCTTGTTGAGAACACCTAGACCAAGGTTTCATAACCCAGGCGCTATTGACACTTGGGGCTGGAGAGTTCCATGTTGTAGGGTTGTCCCATGCATTGTGGGATGTTTAGAAGCATTCCTGGCCTCTATTCTCTAAATGCCAAAGTAGCACCCTCCTTCCTTCCCAGTTGTGACATGAAAAATGTCACCAGATGTTGCTAAAAGTCCTCTGGGGTGAGGGGGAAAATCACCTCTCATTGAGAACCAATGACCTGGACATAATCAGGTTGCTTTCACATGACAGGGAAGAGATGAGTGATTCTGCACGACCTTCAGAGGCCCTGGGGGAAGGAATAGGAGTCTCTCTATCTCAGGTGAGGCCACTCTCCAGCTTGGGACTGACGCCTTAGTGCTTGGCCTAAAGAACAGTAACAATGGCTCGTGTGCATTGAGTTTCAGCATGTTTCGGGCACGGAGCTGTAGCGTGCATCCCATGAGGGCATCCCATGCGGGCATCCCATGCGTCATGTACCCTACATCATACAATCTCACCATGCCCGGGGAGTAACCTGAGACTTGGGGAGGCCTGAAGCCTGACTTAGAACTTCATCCTGCCTCCATGTTTACACATTTGTTCCTTATCTCCTTGGTTCCATCTTTGTAGAGATGAATGAATGCAGAACAAGTGCAAAGTTCACACCATAAGCTCCAAGTGTGCAAGATATTTTCAAACGTGCATTCCAAAACTCTACCTAATTTCTAATCTTGAGCCTCCTTTTGCCTGGTTGGCAGAAATGTGATCTTAGTCCTTCTTGAGGCTTTCCTGCCCTCCATACTCCCTGGGATTAGGTCAGGGTTCCTGGGTTCTAAGTTGTGCCAACACATGGTGGGGAGATAGACGGTGTGAGGAATGCTGCTGGCCATCTGTCCACTCAGATTACACTTGAAGCATTCACTGTTTCTCTGTATGGCTCATTCAGGCAGGTCTGATGGTTCACTACTTCTTCTGCACAGTACTTGAGACTAAGGACCGTTTTTCAAGGCTATCTATAATCCCATGTGGCATGCTGTATTTTCCAAAGAGGCCAGAATATCTTTCATCCCACATGCTCTTCTCACAATATAACTTTGAAACTTCATCCATCAAGAGATAGAGTCTTGTGCCTATAGCAGAAGTGACACTATGGGACTCTAAAGGGAGATACAGCTGTGCCTGGCTCTTTTGGGATGCTTGCTCTTGGAAATTAAGCCTCCATGCTATGAGGAAGCCCAAGCAGCCACATAAAGAATATGCATGCAGGGTTCCAGGTGACAGTCCCAACTGAGACCCCAGCTGACAGCCAGCAGCAACTGCCAGACATATGGGTGAATAAGCCTATGGGTGATTCCAGCCCCAGGCCAGCCAGCAAATCACTCCCTGCCTTTGACCCTTCCGAGAACTCAAGGAGTAGGGACAAGCCATTCCTAATGGCCTCTTTCTGCATTCCTGACCCACCAAGTCTGTAAGCATAATAAAATGATTGCTTTACAAAATTTGAAGTGGTTTGTTATGCATCAATTGTACGTGGAACATCCTGTCTGCCCAATGCATCAATATGCAGACACACCTGTCTGAGGTCTTGCCTCCTCCCTGGCATAAGTCCACACTGATTTGGAGGTTGCACGCATCTCTCCTCATCTCTCCTGCCTGGGGATCCTCTCTCCAGTCCACTGTGGAGAGTCGTTTTCCTTTTTGTTTTTCCATGACACTATATTTATACCCAAGCATCTCTTTCTTCTTCCTTTCACCTCCTCCATAATGCATCTAACTTTGCCTAATGGTTTAGGCTTTTGAGGCACAAAAGCCTATGAGATAGGCAGACTTTTCACAATTTCTACCATCTCTCCCCTAGGGCAAGGAGCAGAGTCAGGTAACCTACTTCAGTGGGAGAAGGAAAAGGGAAAAACACCCGCTGGGGGAAAAAGATGTGTAGCTTATTTTTGACAGTTTTATTGAAACATACTTCGCATACCATACAATTCACCCATTTAAAGTGTATAATTCAGCAACTTCTAGTATAATCACAGAGCTGTGCAACCATCACTAGAGTCAAGTTTAGAATATTTACATCACCCCCCCCAAAAAACTCCATATCTCTTAGCCATCATTCCCCAGTACTCCCATACCCCCAGTGCCTGGCAACCACTTTCTGTCTCTATGGATTTGCTTATTCTGACATTTCATCTAAATGGATTCATTCTACACGTGGTCCTTTGTGGCTGGCTTCTTTCACTGAGCATAATGTTCAAGGTTCACCCATGCCACAGCAGATGCACAGATTAATATAATATCTCAAGGCACCACCAAACAAAAAGACATCGTTTCCTTTTCCCCTGCCTCCATGCCAAGTTGTGAAGAATATGTTTTTGCTTTTAAATGGGGGTTCCTGTTCTCCACCCACACAGTCATTTCACATCCAGCCTTTGAAGTAGAATCAGCAACTGGACCCCAAACTGGGGGGGCCACAAATCCCAAGTAAAATGATAATGGAGCTCCAAACAACTCCTCTCCATGGCCCCTTTCTCTGTGTGATTAAGCTCCTGGTGGATGTCTTGAATAAACCATTTATTCTGTTGGACTATACCAGCTGCTATATGGACCCACCACCCAGTTTCTATGAGCTCAGACAGAAAGCCAGGAGCAGAGGAGAAGGCCAGCAAGGCCCTGGCCTTGCCAAGGGTCTTCAAAATACGGGACCTGGAGCAAGGGCACCCACCCTCAGGATTGCTGGCAGGCAGAGGGCCGTGAGCAGGCAGGATTTAGGACCCAGCGCCAAGTGAGGGCAGTGGTAGGGGCTGCCAGTGGAGAGTTTGCGGCTCGCCCAAGAAATGGATGAAGAATGGGATGGAGAGGAGCATGACCATCAATGAACCACAAAGCCTTTTAGCATCCATTTGCGACTGCTGCTGAACAAACAATTGCAAACACACCAGTCACTAGCTGGGGCTTGGCTCTCCTGGGACAGCCTTGAACTCCAGCCCAGAGCCCCATCCCCAAACAAAGGATAGAGGAGGTGCTCTCAGCAACCCCATCTCCATCTCTGCCGCTAAATCCAGACCTCGAACGTTGCAGCCCTCCAACTGTGTTCTGGTCCTTGGCAAGGAGGAGTCCTCAATATCTTTAGCTCAGTGAGCAGTGGTCCTGCTAAGGCGGTTCCATGAGAAATAGAGATGAGTTGCTGGGATCTGGTATTTTCATAACAACTGTTTAGATATCAGCTTTCAGAATCAGACTCTGTGGAATCCACCCATCCTTGGAGGAAGACACAGTTCCTCTGCGTTAAGGTTTATGCAACAGGTTCCATTCCCCTGAAACAAAGGACAGGAGGCTTGTAGAGCCCTTGATTTGGATAAGCAGAAGCAGGCTGTCCCTCTGGTGTTCCCCTTCTGTCCCCATTCATTCCATAGCATGACAGACCCAAACGTCTGATCAACTAGGCTTGGTGTGAGGGCTAAGAGCTATATGGAGTGCAAAAAGCCCCATGGGTCTCCCAAAGGGGATGTGAATTCCTTGGGAGGAACAAAAGATCACACCCACCCACCCAATGTGCCCTCTTTGATCCATAAATCAGCCTGATCCTCTGGCACATCTCCCAGATACAGGGGCCAGGCATGGATGGGAGCTCTCTTCTATGAGGTAGATAGGAACACTGGAGCACTGGGGAACCAGGTGTCAAGGCAGCCACCCCTTCCGCTAGCTGACTACTTTATCAACGGGAGGCAGAAAGAAGTTTTATTAAAATGGAAAACTCCTACTTAGAAACCAAAACACAGTGGACACTCATTGAGGTCTTATTCACTCTAAATTTGTCAACTCTACAGGACTTTAAGACCCAGTGGCAAAAGAGGGCAAAAAGGACAACCATGGAAGGTATATAAAAGGGCATAACACAAAAAAATCAACTAAGCCGGGCTCAGGGAGCACCCTCTCCCCAGACTTGGGTCCCAATGCCATCAGCTGGTAGGCAGAAGTGCCAACATTGCTACAAAGTTCTGCCCCCTCACCCACCTCCTCGCTGCCCTGCTGTCCTCCCCTCCCCTCCCCCTCCCCAGTGGCGTCTGCCTGTTTATTTGCTGAGCCCTGGTTTAACAATGCCCTGTTTTTATGAGTTGTGCCGTAGTTCTTGGTAAAGCACTTTAATCCACTTTAATGCCCCCACTCTGCTCCTCCGTGACAGCCTGGTGGTTACTCTAATGCATCCCTCTCACCTCAGGGTTACTAATGAGGTCAGAGGGAACGCAATATCCCAACTGAATAATTCACTAATCAGATGCTACAGACTCCAGTGGTAAAATTTATTTCTGACACCTAAACGGCAAATGGGTTTGTGGACACACTCCCTCCCTCTCTTTGCTCCAGAGCTATTTCTGCTAAATGGAGGGCTGCTGTGTTTGCTTAACAAAAGGGCTCTGGTCTGGCCACAAACACATCTCCTCATCTGGGGTCTTGCATGCCTTCAGGAAAGTGAAGTCAGGGTGGGGGGCACAGCAGGTGGAGGCCTGTTTAGAGGGGGCTCACAGCGGATGATGGTGCTGTCAGAGCCTCCTTTCCCTTCCCTTTTGAGGCTGGTAGCAGCTCACCTAACCCCCAGCCCCCCAAACCTCATTCCATCCTCGTGCCAGTGAACACACCTCCGTCCCGTGCTCCACTGTTAGGTGAGTCATTCTAACCAGCTCTGGTGTTGGGCACCTTGCAGATGTGTAGACACTCCCCAGAACCATTCTCCAGGAAAATGCACACGTTTGTGATAATTTTGCACTCTGTTTTAGGGGGCTCCCAGCTTCTCTCAGGACCTCAGTCTCAGGATAAGGTTCTTCTCTGCATTTAGCTTTCCTAGATTACCATCAGGTTATTTTCCATACTAGGCATCCATGTTCCCAGTTTATAAAATGGAGAGGAAGAGCCAGGTGTCTCCAAGCTCTCTGCCCACTCTGAGATTCTCTGCACCTCAAACAGAGACCACAAGGCCCAGTTCTTTATGCATCAGCCCAGCCACTAGAGCCAGGACCCTTACGCAGGCAGCTGCCTCAGAGGGAGGAATTGGCACTCAGCCTCGCACACCCACTCCCTCAGGGGCTGCACAGATACACAGAGCCATCTTCATATTCCAGGCAGATTCCATCCATCCATCCAGAGTCCAGAGAGTGTCCCCCATCTTCCAACAGATGGGGAGCTTCAAGTTTAGGCTGCAGCCAAAGTTTCCACAGGAACCTAGCAACCACCCCTGTTCTGGAAACTTCCAGGCTTCCTTGGATCGTGCCAGATTTCTTTTTACCCTCTTCAAGTGAGCAGTGGCCAGCATTTGCAAAGTCAACCAGTGTGCCTGTGCTCTAGGACTCAAGGGCACCCTGCCCAGCTTCACCTGCCTTCCAGGGTGCAGCCTGTCAGGGCACCAGCACCCCAGGCATAGGGCTCTATTAATATCATTTGTACTTAATTGACTAAACCATGATATATGCAGAGGGGTACAAGAGAACCTGAATATCCCTCAAAAATATGAGCTGTTTTTCAAAATTATCTTCAATTCTCCAACACGCCCTACCAATCAGATATGCATTGTCACGGAATTCAAACTGGAACCTCTGGGGCTTCCCTCCTTTCCTAATGTCCCTCCCACCATGCCTCAGGTTCTGGCCAAAGGGCTGGAGTCCACAAGCCTGTTTCTGACCCTAGGCAAGGAAACCGTTTCAAGAAAAGGGGCTGGAAGAGCCTTGGATATCTGAGATAGCTGGCTGAGTGGAAGTGGGCACAGCCTTCATCTTTGTGTGTTTTTATTAATCAGCTCCCATGCCACCTGAGGCTGGTTGCCCATCCCTGCCTCTCCAGGCCACACCGAGGTGCTAGAGATGGGGAGCAGCTTAGCAGCTAATGAAGGAAGGGGCCCTCTCTGCAGCGCAAGGGGGAGGGCGTGCATCAGCTCTGCTGGCAGCTCAGGCAGCCTTAATTGCCTGTCCCCCAGCCCAGCCCCTTGCAGCTCTCCTCCTTCACCCTGCCCCCCACCCCCTCTCTCTGCAAGAAGCTAAATGGGCCTCTGCTCCATGCCCCGAGGGCCCCACGGGAGTGAGGTTCCCCCACTGAGCCATGTGTCCGGGTCACAGGTCTCCAGTCTGCCTTCTGTAAACAGAGGCAAAGGTGGCGGCTCCTCACCAGCCTGTCAGAGCCGCCCCGGCGCGCCGACTGCAGCAGCTCCCCACTTGACCCTTGCTCTGAGGTGTGACCCCAGCTTTGCACTCCGATTCTAATTTAGGAACCCTCCTCCTTGCCTGGGTCCAGGGAGCCTTGCGCCTGGCATACGGGTCTGAGTCCTGCATTGCTGACTCAGGCAGATTAAGCCTGAAGCTCTGGCTACTGAGCCTGGTGGTGCTGGCAGAGTCTGTCACCAGCAGTTCTAGTCCCTGGCATCCAGCTCAGGCTCCCTGGTTCCAGCTCTGGGCAGTGTTCTTTGTGGCTGACCTTTCCAGAATCTGTCTCCGCACCCTTCCATCTCTTGGTGATCAGCCTTGAGCCCTGAGGCTTCTGTCTCCTTTTAATCCAGAATGAGACTGTCCTTGGCCTGACACCCCATGGCTCTGCGGCCCCAGTCTCTCAGTGGAATTGACATTCATTGAGTGGCTTCCACGTGCCAGACATTGTGTTGAGGAATTTAACCCTCAAGGCAACTCTAAGACTTTGCCAGTCCCTGGCCAGCCTGTCTTGAGCTTCAGTGGCAGAGGTAGGGCATGCTTTCCCAAGGAATAGCAGACTGGGAGTTAGAAAGCTGAGTTCCACACCTAATGACTTTGACTTGCACATTGTTCAATTTCCATTTTTAAAATGGGACCCCCAAAACCCCCTCCTAAAAAAGCCTGTCGGAACCCAATGTAAGAGCGATTTTTAAAGGAAGGAAACTTTTGGGTTCCCTCAGAATTCCAGACCCCTGGGATGTCCCCACCCCTCTAACTCAGTTTCTCCCTCCAGGTTGTCTAAATGAAGAGATAAGCACAGGAAAATGTGCCCTATTCTTCACTGACTTGTTCATATATTGTTCCATTTATCTTCATTCCAACCATGCATGCACCCATTCAAAAACTCCTTTCATCTTTTGAAAGGGTTAATTCACTCAGAAATTCACCCATTCACACACCTATACATCCATTTATCCCACCCACCCACTCGTCTACCCACCAACCTATTTATCTGTCTACTCATCCATCTATCCATTCACCCATTCATCTATTCTCCCATCCATTCATCAAACCACACACCTATCCATTCATGCATTCATTGACTCCGTCATAAATTTCACCCATCCTTCCATCCATCCCACCTATATTCATTCACTCACACACCCATCCACCACCTACTCACTCATCCATCTATTTATCCACTTACTCACCCATCTATCTACTCACCCACCCATTTATTTATCTACCCAGTCATTTCTCTATTGACCCATTCATCTGCCTATCCTCTCATTCATCCATCAAATCACACATCTATTCATTCCTCTACTTATTAATTTATTTGTAAATTCCATCCATCCTTCTACCCACCTTTCCATGCGATTGCTCTCCCATTTACCTTCCTACAAATTTATCTATCAACTCACCCATCCATCCACCCATTCATCAATCTATCTACCATTCATTAATCTTTCTAGCCTTCTACCCATCTTTCTCTTCATTATTTTGACCACCCACTGTATTCTACACCCTAGATTATGTATTAAAGATAAAGAGATGAGTAAATCACAAATTCTGCCTTTCAAGAGGTCAAATTATAATGCATAAGACAGTGACACAAAAATAGGCAATGGCAATGTGATTTGATGAAGAATGGCTGAGTGGGAAGCATGAAAACATGTGGGATTTAGAAGGGCCTCTGTGGGGATTAGAGAAGACTTCTCCCACTAACTGATATCTGGCCTGGGCTTCAACAGGTGATTAAGAGTTCACTAGGTGAGCAGGTGAAGTCAGTGCTCAGCAGAGGCAACTGCATGCAGAAAAGCATAAAATTCTAAGAGAAAAGCTCTGCAAAGCTCTACAATGGTGGCTCTCAACATGGTGTGATCTTGCCCTTCAGGAGACATTTGACAATATCTGGAGACATTTTTGGTTGTCACAACTTGGGGGTGCCACCGGCTAAACAGCCTACAATTCACAGGACAGCCTCCACTCCAAAATGTCAATAGTACCAATGTTGAGAAACTGTGAAACCTTCTCTAGAAAGATGACAGGCAGTTTCAGGATTGTTGGAGTAAAGAAAAGAGGAAGCAATGAGAGAAAGTCCCAGAGAGGTAGACAGGAGCTAGATCAGAGACTGCAAACCACATTTATCAAATGCTTAAGCATTGGGAACTCAGAGATACAATCGGATTCAGTCACTGTTCTCCAGAGCTTTGAACTCTCATTGAAGAAATGGCCCATGTCCACAAAGGGAGTGGAACCTCTAGTAATTGAGATCCTACTATGTGCCAGTCACAGTATTAGAATGTTTTTTTTTTTTTGAGACAGGATCTCACTCCATCGCCCAGACTGGAGTGCAGTGGCGCAATCTCTGCTCACTGCAGCCTTGACCTTCTGGGTTCAAGAAATCCTCCTGCCTCCGCCTCCCAAGTAGCTGGGACTACAGTCACATGCCACCACCAAAATTTAGATTGAGTAAGCTTGTGTATGTTTTGTAGAGACAGGGTTTTGTCATGTCTCTCAGGATGGTCTCAAACTCCTGAGCGCAAGCGATCCACCCACTTTGATCTCCCAAAGTGCTGGGATTACAAGTTCGAGCCACTAGAATTTGTATATATATTATATCATGGATTTTTTTTACAATAATTCTATGAGGTAGGTTCCATTTTCCCGATGAGAAAGCTGAGGCTCAGAAAAGTTTTCAAAAGCCTGGTTCTATATCACACAGTGAGTAAGTGGTAATGCATCGCAGTCCACACTGCCCAGCCTGACTGATCGAGGTGGCAGACTTGGCAAATTAATAGCAGAGACCTTGATAGAGGGGGCAGTCCACAGAGACCTCATGGGAAGAGCAGAATGTGGCCTGGAATAAAGAAAAGGGATGAGATAGGCGAGAGGGACAGGGTGGCAGGAGGATTGTCAGTAAAGGCACAGGTGAGAAAGAGTGGGGCAGGTTCTGGAAACCCTAGGCAGTCAGGGGATTGAAGGATGCACGAGAAGAGAAAAGGGTCCTATTGGAAGCTTACTGCAGGGCCCTGCAGGTCTAGGTATTCACTCAAGGCCATGGGAACAGAACGAAGGCCAAGGCAGAGGCATTAGAAAGACTTCAGCAGCAACCTCTGAGGAATGAACAGAGAGAGAGAGGAGGAGTTGGGGAAAATGTTATGTTTCGAACATGAGTTTTACCGAGAAATCTCTGTTCCTGGCCCTTCTACATGTAGAAGCTGCCTCTCCCTTCCCCCATCAGTTTCCAGGGGGAAGGGGCAGCTCACTCAGATGCCAAAGGAGAGCCTGCTGCTGTAGCCTGCTCTGGCCAGTCTTGGAAGGACAGAGCTGTTGTCTTTTGGGGCATCACATTCACCTCTGTTAAAAAAGCTGCATCCTCTCCCTGGATTCCTTCTCATTCACCACATTCATCTCACACACATGCACACACATGCATAGACATGCACACACATGCAAACACATACACAGGCATGCACACACATGCACAGACATGTATGCATGTGCACCCACACGGACATATACGCGCGCGCACACATGCACATACATGCAGACATGCACAAACATGCACATACATACACAAACATGCACCCACACATAGACAGGCATGCACACACATGAACGCACATGCACACGCATGCACATACACACATACAACATGCACATGCATGCACATACACGCACGTGGATGCACATGCACACACATGCACATACATGCATGCACAAACACCAGATCTGAGGGTTTCATGGGCACTGCTCATCAGACGAGAGAGATAGCCTGCTGGAGAAAAAAAATATTTGCTGACCCTTCTGCTCTGAGCTGCATTTGGGGTGAGAGTCTCAGAGAGAATCAATTTCATCCAAGAAATCTGAAAACAGAGAGAAAAGAGGAGGAGCCAGCTTCAGCAGCAGCCAGAGAGACAAGGTAAGGGAGCCATAGTTCAGGCCAGGGAAAATCTTTACAAATTAAATTTCTGGCTGTAGTGGAGAAGACCTAGGGCTGCAGGAGAGGCCTTACCTCTCTGGAGAAGTCCAGTGCTCCAGGGTCAAATAGCCACCCGTGGTGTCCTAGGGAGTCGTGTAGAAAGAACAAGAAAAACCTGCCCCGGGAGAGCAGTGGCTCCCTGCCAGCCTGCCCCACCCACTGGTATCTTGAGCCCCATTTCTCCTTTATTCTTTAGCATCTCAACTCTCCTCCTAGGAGGAAGAGGGTATGGGGAGGTCCAGAGACTGTGCCTCCAGGGTGAGGTCTTAGAGTTGGGGACAATCCAGGCAAGCTGAGGGGTCGTGTAGGGCTGAAACAAGGGTGTTACCTTCCACCTATAGAGACCCCAAGGAAGAGGCAGCTAAGGCCCTGGATCCAAAAGGAACCTTCAAAAGCTAGTCAACGGGGTTCTCTTTCTCTCTGGATCTGGCTGGCCCCTCTCTTTCACTCCTTGCTTGAAGGGCACCTGAGTGGGTCACATATGGCTGTGTTGTGAGGTCATGGTCAGTGCTACATCCACGGAAGAGCATCCTGGGGAAGGGAGGGCCTCACAGCAGATGGTGTGGGAAACAGTGTGTGTGTGTGTGTGTGTGTGTGTGTGTGTGTGTGTGTGTGTGTGTGTGTGTGTGTGCGTGCATGCAAGTGCATGTACCCAGGATGTTGGGCAGCAAGAGTCAACCTCAGCCCACCTCTTGGGGCAAAGACAGGCCGCCTAGCTATCAGCCTTCTCTGACTCTGGGCTGATGAATCACACACCATCATCTTCACCTGGACTGAGTTTGAAGAACGAGACTGCAAAGGCTTGTGGGAAGAGTCCTGAGGACAAAAGCTCAGGGAGTTCCAGGAAACCAGCCCCTCTAGTCAGCAAAGCAAAGACTCACCCTGAAGTGAGGGGGCAGGACTGCTCACCCTGCCCCACACCAGCTGGCAAGGCTTGTCCAGTCCAGACTCTGGGGCAGGTCTGCATCAGAGTCTCCAACAGCATTGGCAGCAATAGAAATCCTTCCAAAAGCCACGGCCCACTGTGTGGTACCATCAGGGCACCCCCCCCCCCTTCTCTTTGCCAAGGATTTTTATATGCATTGCTTGCATCCCATCCACTGGAACTGTTTCATGAGTGCAACGGAGTGCCTAGAACAGCACTTTGCAGGTATTAGGCATGCAGTAAATACTTAGTGAAGGAATCAATGTTTGCTTGATTTCATCCTCACAACAGTCCTGAAAAGAGGGCAATTCTATCAACCCACTTTGTCAGTGAGAAAGCTAAGGCTTACAGAAGCTGAGTGACTCACACCAGTCATTTAACTTGTGAGAGGTGCAGCCAGAACATGAATCCACGTCCACCTCACTCCAGAGCTCACGGCTGTCCTCTTTCCAACACGACTGGATCTTGCCTCATCATCAAAGAAGCATCACCTGACACTTGGGAGTGGTAACAGTTAAACGGGATACCATTGAATTCAAACAGTGAATTACTGTGGCCAGAACCAGCAAAGGAGGGAGGCCTTGTGGGAACTGGAAAAGAGGAGGAAGAACTGGAGTGGGTGGCTTCAAAGAGCCCCAAGGCCTTCTCTGTCCAGGGATGGTAGGCATGTGCCCCACCATGGAGGAATACCCTTCTCCAACAGCCACAGAAGGTGGCGTAAGGACACAGGACCCCACAGGGCAAGAAATCTCCTTCCAGCTGGATCTTGGAAGCACATGCCACCAGCACGGACATGGAACCACCTTCAAATGATGGAAGGATCCCTTGTACCTTGACACTGGCAAGGCAGGGGCTCACCTGTGTGCATTCTGATCTGGAGCCCCCTCATCCGGCCCCACCCCACCCTGCCCAGATCCTTCACGGCAAATCAGCCACCACCACTCTGGGGCTCCTGGAGAGTTTAGCCATCATGAGCAGGTTTCTTCAGGGCCTGATGCACTCAATGACCTCTAGTCTGCCTGGGTGGGACCTGGTGCTGCCACCCAGAGCAGCACCTCTGAGGCCCAGCCACCTACACCTGTGATATTCACCTCCACCCAGACACCTTCCAGCTCTGGCCCTCTGCACCCCCACAGGACATTCTCTTCTATCCCAGTGGGCTCATCCCAGCCCCTCCAGCACTGGGCCCCAAGCAAAACTCCTGGTCCCCTCCTGGAGACCAGAGCTGCTGAAACCACTGCAGAGGGGTCAGGCTCTCTTGGCCATGGGGAGCTCATTATTTTAGAATATGCCTGCACCTCTGGGAAGTGTCAGGGCACAAAACAGGGTGAAAATAACAAACCGACACCACTCAGCAGCAAATGCCACACATCACAACAGGGACCTGACAAACGAAGAAAATAACTTGGAAGGGGGAGAAAGAGTTTGAGGCTCTGAATCTTGGCAGGGTGAGGAAGGTGAAATTGAAGCCTCCCAAATGTGAGTTCCTCTAAACTAGGGCACCGTCCCTGTGGTCCTGCACTTCACCCCCATCCTTGTGTCGGGTGGTGGTGGGCTGGGGCAGGCCAGTGCAGTCACAGGGCAGACAATGGAAGTCCTATCATGAGGGAGGGTCAGTTACCAGCCACACCGAATCATCTGAACTGAGGTCACCAACCCCAGGGTTGGAGAGAGAGAGTAGAAGTCAAGGAGAAAAGCCAAAATGGGCCCAGACACCAGGGGAGACACTGAAGGCAGTGGGTCAGGGCAGGAGAAGCAGAGAGACAGGAGCTTAGAGAGTTCCTAAGCCCTGGGCAGCTTCTCATGCCCTTCTCACACCTGTCACAATGGGCTTGGAAAGGTGTGTCTCTCATCACTGCCTGACTGGTCTCTGCTTCCTGTTCTGGTCACTGTACCCACTTCCTCTCCAGGGACCAATTCCTCCCTCATGCTCCACCCATGGTTGGGGGTGGCACTGGCCTCACACCCTGGCTTCGGGTGGCAAGTGTCCCAGGCCTGGCCAATCAGAGTATTCCACTCGTGACCCCTGGCCATGCCAATAGCTAATGCATGAGCTGGAAAGTAAATCCTGTTGAGAAAAAGAAAACTTGGGACGGACTGCCAGGCAGAG
Source organism: Homo sapiens (assembly GCF_000001405.40). Taxonomy (NCBI): domain Eukaryota; kingdom Metazoa; phylum Chordata; class Mammalia; order Primates; family Hominidae; genus Homo; species Homo sapiens. The sequence goes on from NC_000015.10 coordinate 88,291,771, forward strand.
GCATGACATGAGCCTCTTGCTGCCAACAGTCATCATGTGGAGAGGGTCTGCCAGAGAGAGAGGAAGATAAATGGAAAACAAACTGTGGAGTAAGCAAGCAAGATAAAGAAAGAAAGCGGACGGCATTATTTGAGCCCCTGGAGCCAGCTGTACCTGACATTTCAGTTACACACTGAACTGGTAAGTTTCAGTTACACACTGAATTGATAAGTTTTATTCGAGTTTAAGCCACTTTGGGTTTGGTTTCTGTCACTTGCAACCAAAAGAGTTCTTGATCCATCCAGATGCTTTAGGTCCATGAAAGGGGCCAATATAGGATGTCATCTCTGGCCAAGGCCAACTAGGTTCCTTATTTAGGAAGCAGAGATGATGCTGGCCTAGCAGAAGCTTTCCCAGATTATCCTTGGGGGTGATGCTACAGGGCATCCTGCAGGAGGGAATCCTGCAAAAGGGGCCGTGGACCAGGCTGCTGGGAGAGGGGGTAGGTTCCGCTGCATCATGGCCTTGCCTCCTTGTGGCCAGAGAGACACACTTGATGGAAGCCCGTACCTCACACCAAGGATAGAGACACGAAGCTCACACAGCTCTCTGGTGTCAAGCATCACATGGTGCCAGTGGCCTCTCCTTTTGCTACACCCACCTGCGACCCTAGGGTGGGACACGCATGCTGACCTCATCCCACTTTGTGCCACTGTGGCTTTTGTGCCTGGCTTCTCGCTCCACGAAGTTGTGATCTCTTCATTGTCTGCTTCATATAATGGAATTTGTGACAAAGTTTTGTTTTGTTTTGTTTTTCTTGGAGAGAAGAAGTCCACTGCTGTTTTTCACATTTAAGAACAGGTGGCCTAAAAGTCCATTGATGGCCATGGTGAGCCTGTCTAGAACAGGGGGCTGACCTGTGCACCTGTTCGAGGGCATGCCTCAGTCTTATAAACTGGGCTTCTTGACCTTATGGCCCTCTTGTAGACAATATAGCTTTTTTCTTTAGTTATGGTAGAATACACTTAATGTAAAATTTACCATTTTAATCATTTTTAAGTGTACGCATCAGTGGTACATTCACATGGTAGTGCAACCATCACCAGCATCCATCTCTAGAACTTTTTTCTAGAACTTTTAAGTGTACGCATCTCTAGAACTTTTAAGTGTATGCATCAGTGGTCCATTCACATGGTTGTGCAACCATCACCAGCATCCATCTCTAGAACTTTTTTCCTCTTCCCAAAAAACTCTGTCTCCATTCAGCAATAACTTCCCATCCCCCACTCTCTCCAGCCCCTGGAAGCCATCATTCTACTTTCTGTCTCTGTGATTCTGACTACTCTAGGTACCTCATATAAATAGAAACATAAGTATCTGGCCTTTTGTGATTGTTTTATTTCACTCAGTACAATGTCTTCAAGGTTCACCTATGCAACACAGCTTTTGAGACATTTTGTTGTCATAACTAATAACCAGTGCTTCAGCTCTTTACTGAGATGGCCAACTCGTCTGCTTCATTTCACACCTAGGGAAGGTGAAGTTCAGAGAAGGGAATCTGTGTTTTTAAATATAGGCCTCGCACCCTATCGCCAGACTTACATTAATACTGCAAGCACTGAGCTACTCATTCCTCGTACATCTGGTACACCTACCTCTTGAACTCCTTTTCTGACAAGTAACAGGAAAACTTTCCAAGAAAGAGGAGATGGATGCAGGACCCAAAGAATAACTTGGTTATCTATTGATTTGCTTCTCTCTCCTCACATTTCCAACCAATCTCATAAATTTGGAGAATAGTGATTTTAGAAGAAGGTTTCATCAGGGTAAGTTTGTGATGTCTTGCCCAGGCTCAAAAGATACAACCTTATTTGAGTGAATTCATGTGACCCTAAAAGGAATTGAGCTTTCATTTCAAAGACTCCCACCAAAAAAAAAAGAGTGATCCTGGTGTACCCATAGCCACACTCACACATAAACTCCATTACAGGGCACTGGATCTTGCTTCTAAAACTTTTCCAGCTCACCTGTTCTGACTGATGACTTCTTGCTCTGGTTGCTCCTGGCTTCTACCTGAGCTATCACTGCCATGTGGATCCCACTCTTTGTCCCAGGCCCCCAGCACTTTGTAGATGCTCCTCCAGCCGTCCAGTCTTGGCACCTGAGATGCACCTTCTGGCCCCATGCATGGCCCCCATCCAGTTTGCATCCCAGATGCTTCTATTCCCAGCCTTGAAAACAAATAAGCCAGAAAAGGGCAGTGGATACCACCCAAGAGAGCCAGTTCTTCTACCATAGGGGACAAAAGGAAACCTTGGCACAGTATTTGGATACAAATGAGCTGAGAGTCTCCATTCCTTTCTACTGAAATCTCTCGCCTACCACAAACCGGAGAATCTCTATACCCTATCTCTTGTCCCTACAGGAATACCCCTTGGCTTTGCCAGGAAGTTAAGGCCAACTGACATAGTATGCCTACACTTATCTGTTATGTAATAAACGCAATAGCTGGGTTCCCCCCGACAACTTTTTTTCTTTTTCTTTTTTTTTTTTTTTTTGAGATGGAGTCTTATTCTATCACCCAGGCTGGAGTGCAGTGGCGCAATCTCGGCTCACTGCAACCCCTGCCTCATGGATTCAAGCAATTTTCCTGCCTCGGCCTCCTGAGTAGCTGAGATTACATGCACACACTACCATGCCCAGCGAATTTTTGTATTTTTAGTAAAGATGGAGTTTCACCATGTTGGCCAGGCCAGCCTCTAACTCCTTGACCTCCCAAAGTGCTGAGATTACAGGTGTGAGCCACAGTGCCCAGACAGGCTTTCCCTTCTAACTTAGGTGAAGTCACCAGAGCCTCATATAGGCAGAGGCTAGGCTTGATACAACTAGAGACGCTATGAAACCTTTGAGACTCCCCTGATTGAATCGACAGGGAAATTTTACCCCATTGATGTAAAGAACAAGGGTCTGGATTAGAAGTACATTAAGAGCCTTGTGGTCGCATTATTCAACAAGCAAACACTTCTCACTTAAGGGGATACCTGAAAAATGGTAGGTGGAAAGAGATCTGGATGGGCCTGGGTCCAAATGCTGATTTTTAAAAAGATTCTATGTTAATTCCACTTCCATAAAATGAAGGTGATACATTTTGCCTCAAAGGGTTGAAGAATTAAGTGAAATAACGGGTATAAAAGTATTTGACATACTGCCTGACATATACTAGATTCTGAATGTCGCTTCTTTCTTTCCTCCTACCCTCCCTCCCTTCCTTCCTCCCTTCCCCCCTTTCATCAAATAAGCAATTACTTTTATTAAGAATTAGATTCCCTTGGCATCTTCCTTCCTGCTTACCTCACAACTACCCCATTCCACCGCAGGAAGAAATAGCCATCGAATCCATCCGGGTACAGAGCATTCACTAGGGTGCCTGAGGTTACTGTGTGTCTACACTCAGCTGTCTCTTCCCTCCAGTCTATACAGAGGATCCTCTTGGGACCTGGCTGTTTTTCTTTCAATGCCTTCTGTTCAGCTGGCCACAGTTAGTGAACACCTAAGATGTGCTTTCAGGCTTTAAGGCACTCTTTATCATAGAGTCCAGCAAAAGTGATTCTTTATTCCTATTTGGTTCTCTACTCCCACTCAATGTCTTAAAACCCTGCCAAAGCATCGTTGTTGGGTCAAGACATGAGCATTCCAAGGTCTCTGGCAGATATCCCTTTAAACTAACCTAATATGTGCCACCTACCACCAATGGGACAATTTCTGCCTTGACTGGCAGAGTTCCCTGAATGCTGGGAGGAATTCCTTCAGCTTGACCTTTGCCCAAGCCCCAGCAGACCTGTTCACCTTCCTCAGACAATCTCCCTTGGCCAAGACACCTGCCAGTCTCACTGGGGCTACCTTCATTCATTCCCTGCAGTGAGGAACTGAGGGAGGTGAAGAAGAGGCTGATGCCCACCCACCAGGAGACAGCTGGCTTGCAACACACAGTGCACTAGACAACCCTTCACTTGGAAATACTCACTGGAAGGAAAAGGCCTAACAGGATAATAGGTTGTTTTGTTTTTGTTTTTGTTTTTTTTTAAAAAAAAAGCTCTTGCTAAAGAGATGAAGAGTCTCCATCTCCAGCCCTAGATCGGCAGTCCAGTTCTCTCACCATCTGTTTTAGGGAGGTCAGGTTTTGTGGCTAAAAAAATTGATGCTGTCCCCATAAATATAGTTCATATTGCATTGCACATATTTATAAATATAAGTGCTGTAGCACTACCACATTGCCTGTGAAGAATGCAGGCAGGTTGTGATTAGAGGTGAGCCAGTTCCTGATTGTGGGTTAATAAGCTCTGCTAATAAACTGCCTGTAGCTTTACTTAAGAAAAATAATATATTTCATCTTAGATAGAACAATTACAGTGCATGTAAAATAGATATTTTTGCCTAATGAGCATTTGAAACGCTTTCTTTGGGGGGAAACACACACACACACACACACACACACACACACAGAGCACTCTTTTCTTTAAAAGAAAAAAAAATCAACCCTTACGTTCCCTCTGATTGGACTTTGCTGAGGACCAACTTCAAAAGGTTTGAGTGGTTTTCCAGTTTAAAAGCGGATCTTCCACTGATGGCCACTGGCAACAGAACAAATCTTAATGAAATCAGAGTTGGATCCCAAAGGGGGCCTGGGGGATGTGGGCTGAAGGGCAATGTGAGTCATTAAACAATAGGGCTCCGAAGAAATGCCTTAATTAGCAGTGAGAGGAAAGCTTGGAATGGGTACCCCAAGACTTCGTGTGCCAGCAAGGAGAGAGAGCAAATGAAAGGGAAGCAGCAGGAGACTGCAAGAGTGTGGGTGGTCCAAGGCAGCAGGGTAGAAATATTACTCCAGACAAGATACCAGGCAACATTTGGATCCTGGGTCTGCATGAACCTCTGATCAGCAAGGGTCTTAAAAACTTTGAGCTGGAAGAGACCTTAATTTAAGACTCTGATTCTGAGATGGCAGATACGTGATATATATGCTACCTTTCTCTCCTCCTGCATCCCTTTGCAGACATGGCTAATTGGTGGTAGCATTCTTTCCTGCTAGTCCCAGGCAACCACTCTGAATTAATTGGAACTGGCAAACCTCTTTGCCATCCCTGATCTAATCTTGCGTCTTTGTTTCAAGGTAAGACAAGTGAGATCCAAGATGAAATCATGTTGTTTTAAGTATTCTAAGTGACCCTCACAAAGGTCTTCAGACTCTCTCCACTACAAACCATATCCAGGAGACTTCCAGTTGTGGGTCGTTCTTGGTTTCATCAAGGACACCCTCAAATGAATCACAATAAACCTTCAAGAACTCAGAAAATAACCCACAAGAATTCAGACAAAGAAAGTGATGTTTGTTCCAAAGACTCACCTTTGAATGAAAGAAGATCCCAGAAAATAGATGGGAGGGAGGGGAAGGATCAACGGAGCCATTAGGTCACACGCCAGCAGTAAACTTTCTCCACGGGCACTGAGCCAGGTGAGATGGCAATGTTGCCTGAGATGAACACTGATCCTGTCTTCCAGCCTGGCTATCTTACTTGCTAGGGCTGCCATAACAAAATACCATACACTCAGTGGCTTCAACAACAGAAATTTATTTTTGCACGGTCTGAAGGTTAGAAGTCTAAGACTGAGGTGTCAATGGGGTTGGTTTCCTTGACTTGCAGATGGCCACCTCCTTGCTGTAGCCTCATGTGGCCTCTTCTCTGTGCACACTCATCCCTGGTGTCTCGTCGTCTTCTTACAAGGACATCGGTCATACTGGATTAGGGCCCACCCTTATGACCTCATGTAACCTAATGACCTCTTTTTTTTTTTTTGAGACGGAGTCTCACTCTGTCACCCAGGCTGGAGTGCAGTGGTGCGATCTCGGCTCACTGCAAGCTCCGCCTCCCGGGTTCACGCCATTCTCCTGCCTCAGCCTCCCGAGTAGCTGGGACTACAGGCGCCCGCCACCATGCCCGGCTAATTTTTTGTATTTTTAATACAGATGGGGTTTCACCGTGTTAGCCAGGATGGTCTCGATCTCCTGGCCTCGTGATCCGCCCACCTCGGCCTCCCAACTAATGACCTCTTTTAAAGACACTCTCTCCACGTATAATCACATTGGGAGTTAGGGCTTGAGTGTATGAATTTTGAGGAGGGCACAATTCAGTCCATAACACAGAGTCATCAAATCACAACCCTTGGAGTGGGAGGGATCTCAGAAGGCACCACCTCCCACCCAATACTCAGCACAGGGCTCCTTCTCCAGGACATGAAGGTGCTTTTCCATCCTCTGTCCAACCGTGCCAGGAGCCCTGCATCCCCACAAACACAGGTGCAGGAGGAACAGCTAGCAATGCTACCAAACAATAGTGAAGAACCCACTAAGCAGAATAACGGCAATATGGCTGTGGAAGAAAGGCCTGGAGCCATGCAACATTGCTGGCTTTGAAGATAGATGAAGAAATCACAAGCCAAGGAAAGCGTGTACCTCTAGAAGCTGAAAAAAGCAGGGGACAGATTCTCCCATGGAGCCTCCAGAAAGGAACACAGCCACGCAGACACCTTCATTCCAGTCCAGTGAGACCCATGTCAGACTTCTAACCTACAGAACTGTAATCAATGTGTGTTGTTTGAAGCCGCCAAGTTTATGGTTTTGCTATAACAGCCATAGGAAACTAATTCAACCACCTAGAAACTGATGAAGTTCTCCCAAATGCCGGCAAAGAGGAAAAGGACAAAAGCCCCAGAAGGAAAGCTGGCAGAAGTATGGGGAAAGGAGAGATAACAGGGTGCCTACCACTTGGAAGACAGGACCCCACTGCTGTCTGCTGATGGAGACTTCCACGCACAACCAGTGTGCTCAGCGTGATGAATTCCCAGGCCCAGCTCAGTGCTGGCACAGAGTAAATGCTCAATGAAATTCTTCAAGGATTCATGGAACCCCCATATCCACCTCCTCATGGGGCCTCTAGCCTTAGAGGACAATATTGGCTAACAGGAGTGTCTCCAGCAAGAGCCACCAGCTTCTCGTAAGGATTACAAAATCAATTTTAGAGGCAACCTTGGGTTTTCAATAACTATTTGAAAGGAAGGGCGATCCAGAATTCCTTTTTCTTCTATAGAAGTTAGTATCTATAAAAGTCCTGCTGTAAAGGCTTTTCTTTTCTTTTTTCTTTTCTTTCTTTCTTTCTTTTTTTGATGGAGTTTTGCTCTTGTTGCCCAGGCTGAAGTGCAGTGGCACAATCTTGGCTCACTGCAACCTCCACCTCCCAGGTTCAAGCGATTCTCCTGCCTCAGCCTCCCGAGTAGCTGAAATTACAGGTGCCCGCCACCATACCGAGATAATTTTTTGTATTTTTAGTGCAGACGGGGTTTCACTATGTTAGCCAGGCTGGTCTCGAACTCCTAACCTCAGGCAATCCACCCGCCTTGGCATCCCAAAGTGCTGGGATTGCAGGCGTGAGCCACCGCACCTGGCCAAAGGCTTTCCTTTTGATACATCACTCTTCTAGGTAGCAGTTTAACCCTTGAATGGCAGCCTTTTCTGTGACATCATTTATCTTCCGTCTGGACTGCTCCCTTCATCCCTGAGGCCCTTGGCCAACAGGTCAACAAGCCACAGGAAGAAAACCAGAAAGGAAGGAGGGTGAGGGGCTCCTTGGAAGCTATGGTTTCTGCCAGGCCATGGAGCCAAGCCAAAGGTCCACTGTCCAATCCTGGAGAGGCTGGCAGATGACAAGTGCAACCAGTTTTCCCTTCTCCCCCAGAGCCCAGAATCCAGGGACATGTGCAAGGCACGTCTGGTCTTCAGTGTAAAAATAAACCCAGGGCTGTTAAGCCCCAGCATATTAATGACAATTAATGATTCGCTCTAATCCTCCCCAGCTCTCCGTGGGCATCTGTGACATGCTTTGGGCTGGACACCCCTCCCCACTCCCCCGGCCTCCTGCAGATTCTGTCCATATGCTGAGCTGCTTGGGAATGCAGGTCTGGGAGGGGAGTTTCACAGGAAGAGATACTTGCTACAAAATGCCTGCTCAAGGGTAGCTGGAGAGCCCATCAGCCCTGGCTTAGGGGTCCCTTTCACCTGCTCTTCCCTGAAATCTGCAGGATGAGAGCAGCCAGTATCTCCCTACAAGACTCCCCCGGGCTGGGAGCTTTGGCCAAGGAAACGGCAGCTTCAAATATGTGCACCTGGAGGGTTACACCTTGGTGTTTCACATGCTCCAGCTCCTCAGCTTAGACCCTGCTCAAAGAGCAGCCCCATTTCACCCCTGCTGACCAGCCTCCCTGCTCAGAGTTCCAGATCCTAAAGGTGAATGGCAGCCACTGCCAGCCGTAGAAAGACTCCAACCTCTTTAACCTCTCTGCTGAGCTAGGAGTTTCTCAGAGGCAATAAGTCTCCTTCATGCGAACCCCATCCCCCACTGCAGCATGCATCCCTTCTCACGGCATGTGCCTGGTCACCCCATCTCCTCCCCTGCCCCATAACGTGGGCGGGCAGAGACCACATCTGCCGTGTGCCTCATTCAGTCCCAGTTGCCTGGCATGGGGCTAGGTGTCACAGGTGCAGAATAAATGTTGGATGCCCGCCTGGCCAACTGGCCCCACATGGAAAGTGCTTACAGCCATGCTTCCCACGTGCTGAGTGCCCTGTGAGTGTGAGCTCTTGTTCTTGCACATCCACTGTCACATTCAGTCCTCCCACCACCCTATGCCCTAGGTGCTATTATTACTCCCATTATTTAGAGGAAGAAAATAAAGTTTCCGCAGCTGAAATAACTTGCTCCAGGTCTCACAGCTCACAGATGCTAAAGCAAAGGTCACACCCAGCTTGTATCTGCCCCATTCCCTCACAGTCATTCAGAGCAGAGGGATGTCCAGCCTTGTCAGACCGCAGCTCCTGAAGTCATTTGGCCCAAATGGACCAATCTGGCCTTCACAGCAGCCCCAGGAACCGGATTTTTATTACAGACCCCCATTTTACAGATGAGGAAACTGAGGCTTAGAAGAGCTAAGCAAATTGTCAAAGTCACAGAGCAGAGCTGGGGTTTGAGTAAACCGTTTGTGGGTAAAGATGATTGGCACATTTCTGACTGGTCAATATGCTGAGGACTGGATGTAGGAAAGTGAAGAAAGGCCTTGCAAGAGGCGCTCTGTGGATGTTGGTGAGAATTTGCTCTGAGGTCTGGATTCCTCACTGTGAGCTCAGAAGCAGGATGGATGTTGCTAAAGCAGGCGGTAAATTTGCTTTGTTGATCATCAGGCCATGATTTCTCTACCAAACTAGGGGTAGGTGCCTGGCTGGCTCCAGCCCAGCCCATGCATTTGTAGCCCACTCACTCAGGAGAAGGGAGGGATTGATTGCTGGAGGCTCTGCCAGCTTCTCCCTGAGCGGAATGAGCAGGAGATAAACTTTGCTGAGATAACACGCTGCCTTTTCTTGCCAGTTTCATTTGGGATTAAAACCACAATGAAAAATGAAAACAGAATCAAAAAAGGCCCGAAAACCAAGTACCTTGAAGACTTTCTCCCTCTTTGAAACCTCTGTAATTGGGCACTTATGTAGGGCAAGAATGACAGACTCTTGTAGCTATTACGGAAATACACACAATGAGGAAATTGTTGCCTTCATAGTCCTATATGGAATGCCTATTACTCTGCTGCATTGGGTTTCCACACTGAATGTCTTCGGTAGAAAAGGAAATCTCCCTTTCCAAACCCCCAGCTGGCATTGGCAAAAAAGAATCAGGTTGCTGCCATAGACTCAAATTGACTCACCAAATTCCCCCTTAAAAAGCACAACCCCCTGCATAGGCAGGCCTGTAATGTAATGCAAAACATCCAATTCTATAATGTTTATGCTTCCATTTCAGGCATCCAGACAGCCAGGGGGAATTAACCTGCTCACCACTGTGCTTTCATCTGGCTCAGTGCCGTTGCCACCACTGCTGCTGTTTTGTTTTCCATCAGCCTCTATATTCACCTGTGTTCTCTTCTCCTTTAGCCTGGGTGTGGCTCCCATGGAGACCCAAGCTGAAAAGCACCTTCCATTCTTGCCCTTTCTTGATCTTCCAAGACACAGACTCACGGGACTTCCATCTGAGCTGCAGCCTCTCTCTCAGATTGAAGTTGCTGTTTCAGAAGAAATCAGCAGTATCCACCTCTTTACCTAAGCAAGCAGCACAGTCCTTGAGTTTTTCTTCTAGAAAAGGATGGTGATGTGTGAAATGCCCCCACTCTCTTGACCTGTCCACACAACCAAAAGCCAGGCATGTCCAAGCAAGCAGAGTAGACACAAAGACATATTTGTTGAGCTGTGAAACCAAATCCTGCATTAGAGTTTTTAATACCTAACCCCTTTCCCCACTTCCCCTGCACATGCACATGCATGCACACACAAATACACACAGACACACAACACACACAGCCCTCTCGATGGCCTCTGCCTGCACATGGGTCCAAGCTGTCCAGGACCCTCTCCAGTGCATTGCAAAAGCCTCCTACCATGTCTGTCACTATTTGGCCCTCTCTCCGATCCAGCCCTGCACATTTCCAGAGCTTGGTTATGCCACTGCCTTGCTCAGAATCCTTCAGCAGCCTCCACTAGTCCTAGAATAAAAGCTATCCCCTTCGCCTGGCATTCACCACCTTTCCTAACCTGGCCCCAGCAAATTTCTCCAGCTGTATCTTTCACTGCACCCACTCACCCTCTGCCCAACTGGTCTACTCTGGTCTCCTGTGCACACACCCACGCTTCTCCTCCCTGTGAGCTTGCTCATTCTACATCCTCTGCCTAGACTGCTCTCCCCTCCATCTCTACCTGTCAAATCCCACCTCTCCTTCAAAGCCCAGCTCAGGTGTCACCTCCTCCACAAAACTGCCCACACTTAGCACGGTGCCTGGCAAAAGCAGGACATGTTCACATGCAGTTTTGCAATGCAACTGATTCAGCTCAGCCATATCAGCATTTAAAATCCCTGTGTCCTACCTCACCCAACTCCCATCCCACCCCTGGTTCTCACCCTAGGGGTGAGAGTTGACCAGGGGATGCAGTTTGGGGATGGAGTGAAGATGTCTGGCTTGTACGTTTCTAATTTTAAAATAGCTGAGAGTATATGGTTTGGTTTTTAAGTGCATCCAAATGTCTCACTGTGGAAAAGACTGCACCAGAATCTCCTGTTCTCTACCTGTCCCGCAGTAGGTGCTCCACATGCTTGTTGAATCAGTGATTGAATCAATGAATGAATGACTCTCCCACAGCTCCTTGCAGCTTCTTCCCTCCTTAGTTCACTCTGCGATAACCAGCCTGACTCCCTGCAACACCTCCCACTACGCTTCTCCCCACTGCTAGACCCACCAAGCCCCTTCTGTTCTCTCAGCCCCTCCCCACCTTGGAGCTACAGCAAAGGGAAGGGAAATATCAGGAGCCCATGGCAGCCCTCCTATGCGCAGTGACTCAGTGACAGACATCTTGCCAAATAGCCTACTCTGTTCCTTGCCTCTCTGGGTGGCTTTTGCCTTGCTCCTGAGACCATGGCCTATCCTTCCTCCAGGTCTCAGAAGGAACTATACTTCCAGTTCTCCACTTTCTCCATGGTATAGCTTCCTTCTACTCAGAGGCTAATTCCCTCTCTGAACCTCAGCCACAGGACAACTCTGCCACTAGCAGCCCAGCCTCTCTGATGCCATCTGCCTATGCTATCACCCAGTGCCCACCCCAGACTGCTTATCACCAGATATTGCCACTCTCTTCTGCCAGATTTGTGGTGGCAGAGATTGGCTAGATTCTCACCAAACCCATCCCCCCTCTTCCTGGCACATACCTGGACTTCACTCTGTGGAATACAGTGCAGCCATATGACATTGTTCTGATGTGAGTACAATGGAATGCAAGAAAGTGAAGAACCTGTGTACTTCACCTCTAGGCCCAGCCCATAGACTTGTTCAGTCTTCCTCTCTCCTCCCTTTCTCCTTCCTCCCCCCAGCCTCTCTCTCTCTTTCTCTCATGTCCCCCTTTTCTCTATCGATCTCTATATCTATCTCAATGGATGATTGCAAATGAGACTGCACTAATACGGTAGCCACTAGCCACATGCAGTTATTTCAATTTAAACTACTTTAAATGAAAGAAAATTAAAAATTGGTCAAGCATGGTGGCTCATGCCTGTAATCCCAGCACTTTGGGAGGCTGAGGCGGGCGGGGGGGATCACCTAAGGTTGGGAGTTCGAGACCAGCCTGACCAACATGAAGAAACCCCACCCCTATTAAAAATACAAAATTAGCTGGGCGTGGTGGCGCATGCCTATAATCCCAGCTACTCAGGAGGCTGAGGCAGGAGAATCACTTGAACATGGAGGTGGAGGTTGCAGTGAGCCAATATCGTGCCATTGCACTCCAGCCTGGGCAACAAGAGCGAAACTCCATCTCAAAAAAGAAATAGGAAAGAAAATTAAAAATTCAGCTCCTCAGTTGCACCAACCACATTTCAAATGCTTGCTCACCACAGCACAGGTAGAGAACAAGTTCACAATTGCAGAAAGTGCTATGGGATGTGCTGTTCTGTGGAGCCCACACTAAGGGAAGTCTGGCCCTCAAATAATGCCATGGGGCAGAGTCATCCCCTCCCCTACTAACCTTTGAATAAACATAATGTGAGTGAATGGGAAATGACCTTTGATTGGGTGCAATTGCTGAGGTTTTGAGATTGTTTGTGACAGCAGTCAGTACACCCCAACACCAGCCACTCAGCTGCCTTAAACACTCCAGACACAGTACCCTGGCTTGTCATCTTTGCCTCCTTCACTGGGCCCCAGAGAGAAGCACAAGGGGTCAGGATTTCAGCCACTGCCTTTCTGACCCTTCCTTCTTCCTACGAAGCTCTGCAGCTCTTTGTATTCCTCTCCCAACCTCTGTATTTCCCAAACTCTTTTCAGCTTGATTGCCAAATCTATTACAACCTCTATTATCATTTACTTAATATCTTTTCAAAAACAAGCTCTCTTTTTAATTTGAATAAATATATTGACTAGAGACACTTTATGCAACTCTTTAAATGGAGGCAGACAAGTCCCAAGATCTTTAATCAGCCAGCTGGAGACCCAGGAGAATTGATGCTATAGTTTCAGTCTAAAGGGGAGGAAAAAAAACCCACTATGTCCCAGCTCAAGGCAGTCCCAAAGGAAATAATTCCCTCTTATTCTTGGGAGGGTCAACCTTTTTATTCTCTTAAGGTCTTCAACTGATTGGATGGGGCCCACACAACCTAGGCAGGGCCATCTGCTTTACTTAGTCTTCCGATGTAAATGTTAATCTCATCCAGAAACACTCTCACAGATACACCCAGAATAATGTGTGACCAAATATCTGGGCACTCTATAGCACAGTCAAGACAATGCATTAAATTGACCATATATTTACCACAATTAGAAGATACAATACAATGAAAACCTAACACTATGATTAAGTCCAGCTAGAATCTGTCGCCTATCAAAGGCTCTGGGTCTGAGGTCTGCTATTTTTTTGTCTATTTAAAAGGGAGATGAACAAGTACTGGGGAGGTGTTAAAGATGAACTAATACCATGATGAGACTTTCACCTTAAAACGATCAGCAGGATTGTTAAAGAATCTAAAAAAGAACACCTTTCCCACAGCGTGATCAGCCGTCCAATGTATATCCATATCTCATATCAGATGAGCCCCATTGCCCTCCGGAGGGATCCATGCCCACTTAGGGGCCACTATCCTAGACTATGGTCCCCTGAAGGCCAAGATCACATTTAAATGGCAGTTGTATATCTCTTGGTGCCTCACACGTAGGAGCCACTTAATAAACAGTAAATGAGTGAAGATATGGCCAGGAACAGTCTCTGACCTAGTTGGCAGTTTCTGTCAGAAGCAGAACATCATGACAAAGGAAATGGGACTAAAATGTTAAACCACACTAAAGGTTCCATCTACCAAATCGCTCCTGTGGCACACTGGGGCAGGGCTACGTCTAAAGGAATTAAGACATTCAATAGATCCAGGGCCAGATTAAGACATTCTGAGGCCCTAACACCAGAATGTATTTTTACAGACAGAACATTGAACATTCATATCTAAATACAAATTAAAGCGGCATATATACAAAATATAGTGTATTAAGAGAGAAGAAAGGGAGGGAGGGAGAGAGAGGAGAAGGAGAGAAGGCAAAGAAATGGAAAATGAAAGAGGAAGAAGTGAGGAGAAAGGGAAAAGGAAAATGCCCTATCTGATATTTGACCATAGCGTCTCCCCTGTGTGAAACTCTTCAGTAATTTTTTTCCCTTTATAATAGGGACAAGGCCACTCTCCTTTTTAGGTACACAAGGTTTTGGATCACTTATATCTAAATCTAGCCCCCCTAAGACCACCCAGTGTCTGCAGGTCCCCACAGGAAGAGTCATGCACACTTATGGACTACCCAGGGGCATCTTCAGCTGATGGGGCCTTAATGTCACCCAGGACTCCCTGTTCTGGGGGAATTCTCAAAGGTAGATGCAGGGCTCCAGGAGCTGTTTTCAAATTTTCTAAAAAACATAATAGGTATTAAAACCTAATAGGTATTATATATTTTCCTTCAACAAAGCCTAGTAGTAAAGCTCACAGCAGGGTCCTGTACTTATCTCTAATGTATCACGTCATTTTCTTGCTTGTCTCCCGCAAAGGGGTGTGAGCTCCTTGCAGTTGGAAACCATGCATTTGACTGATTTCACTTTTTAAAAAAATATCCTCAATGCCTGGCACATAATGATCCTTAAATGATGTCTGATGAATAAGTGGCCACTGGATGAATGAAACAAATAAATGTGATACTACACTGTTTCCATTGCATACGTCGCTGTATATATATATATACGTATATATATACATATATATGTATATATATATACGTATATATATGTGTGTATATATGTGTATATATATACACGTATATATGTGTGTATATATGTGTATATATATACACGTATATATGTGTGTATATATGTGTATATATACAAGTATATATGTGTATATATACACGTATATATGTGTGTATATATGTGTATATATATACACGTATATATGTGTGTATATATATATCTTAGATTAATCAAAATGTGAAGGCAAATTCATTGGTAGTAAACATAAATTATTTTGAAGGAAATATCACTCCAAACAAATGAAAAAAATAACGAAAATGGTGCTAGGGAAGAAAGAGGCTGGGATCCTTAGATAATGCACAGATATGTGTGTCCCCACACGTGGCCTAAGAAGCTCTAATCTCCCCCAGAGGAAGCTGGACCCTGGGGACACAGCCTGCTTCTAAGCCACCAGCTCCTAAGGCAGTATTTCTCAAAGTGAGGTTTGGAAGCCACCAGCATAAGAACTGTTGGGAGATCTGTCAAAACACTGATTCCTAAAACATGCCCCAGACCCAGAAAGTTGGAATATCTGACACCAGGATTTGAAACCCTACATTTGTAAGTTCTTTGGGTTACTCTTAAGCATCTTCAAGTTTGAGATATTGCCCCGAGAGTTCCTGGGCAAATCCCATTCAGGCCACCTGCCACCCAGGGCTGGGGGTAGGCTCAGAGCAGCTGTGTCATCCCCACATCCCAGCTGTGAGTGCTCATCCCTCACCTGGGACCCATAAATGTTGTGTTGGAGAGGAGATGTAGTGAGAACCAGGCATAAATCATGCTCCTCTGCCCCTCTTTCCACCCTCTGCCTTCCCTTAAGGAAGGCCCTGACCCCAGGGACTGCTCACCGGGTATTTCAATAAGCTCCAACTGGCCCTTTATCAGATGGTCCAGTCAATTAGAACTTCATCAGGAATCAATTTGTGAGGCCCAGCTGAGATGTAACTATAGATCAGGGCAGTGGCAACTGATTATCCCACTAATGGAATATTCCATTGATTAATTGAGTATTTAAATCTTTCCGAGGGTGGCTGTGCTTGCTGCCATTGTCGCTGGATGAAAGGGATAGGAGAGTGTCGTGCAGTCAAAGAGGAAGCTGATGGTTCTTCCTTCATTTAGCAGCTCTCAGCAAAATAACGGGTCAGCCTCACGTTCTCAGAAAGCAAGAACACTGCAAGGTCTTTGGCACAACGTAGAAACCTCCCACCAGCTGATTGAACCAATCAGGGGATGGTGGGTTTTAATTCGCTATTTTTCTGCAAAGCTGTGTGCTGAGGACCTCAAAGAAACATCCATTCCAGTGCTTCTTATAAGTTAGAATCCCCTGGAGATTTGCTAAAACACAGATCCCTGAGCCTGCCCCCCAAGTCTGATTCAGCAAATTTGGGGCGGGGCCTGAGAATCTGCATTCCTAGCAGGCTCCCTGGTGAAGCTGGGGCCACATTTTGAGTAGCACTTACCTACATTTTATAAACATATATTTTAGCAAACAGAAAGGACAGACATTATCTGATACCTACTTGGGTCGTGCTGGAGTCTGAAATTTTAAAATGCACATTATCCATGACAATGCAGTATTGACGACAATTATAAGATAGTCATAACGTGCTACATTCACACAAAGGCAGATGTATACCGTACATCTTGCTGGGGCCCTTGATCAAGAGTGAGGTTTGGTTTGGGATTTCTATCCTGAGTCCAGTTCTTCCTAGCTATGTGACCCTGCATAAGCAACTTAGCTTCTCCCTACCTGGGTTTCCTCAGTCTGAGGATGCTCATTCCTGCCACGTGGTAAGAACGCACATAAAGCGCTTAACGCGATGCTTGGCACATAGTAAAAACTCAATAAACGGAAGCTGTTACTATTATTACCCTGATACCCAATGCCTAAAAAGGTCTCAGAAGTCAGGTTCCCTTTGGGGAAGAGAGGGATGTGATTGCTTTCTGCCGAGAAGCAGATGCATCTGCTTAAGGGATGTGGAGAGCAGCAGGAAAGACCGTTGCTCCCAGCATCTTCACTGTGCTGGGTCTTTCCCACAGCGTGGCTGTGAAGTTTATGATGTACAGACTGCCAGGGGCCGGAACCAAATTTCCCAGAACAGCTGGCAGATGGTGAGGGAAAAGGAAAGAAGAAAGGGAACTGGCATTCATTGAGGCCCTACTGTATGCCATGCTCTTTTTAAATAAGGGATCTCACTTAATCTTTACTGAAACCTGAAGGGGTCAATATAATTATCCCTATTTTTCAGATTTGGAAACTGAGATACAGTGAGGGAAAGAGAATACTTCCAGACAATTGGCTGGTGGGCTGGAATTGGATCCCAAATTTGCTTCACTTTGAGATTTGCGGTTGTTTTTTTTTTTTTTTTTTTTCCGAGGCGGAGTCTCGCTCTGTCGCCCAGGCTGGAGTGCAGTGGCGCAATCTCTGCTCACTGCAAACTCCGCCTCCCAGGTTCACACCATCCTCCCGCCTCACCCTCCCGAGTAGCTGGGACTAGAGGCGTCTGCCACCAGGCCCGGCTAATTTTGTTTTTGTATTTTTAGTAGAGACGGGGTTTCACCGTGTTAGCCAGGATGGTCTCTATTCCCTGACTTCGTGATCCGCCCACCTCGGCCTCCCAAAGTGCTGGGATTACAGGCGTGAGAAACCGCAATCGGCCAGATTTGTGTACTTTCCACCACACCACACCATGGGTGTCGTTGCAGGTGGAGGGGTGACTTTGTGGGTGATGCTATGCCATCACACATGACTGAGTGAAGGTGTATATATACACATCATACAGGCAGATGCAAGCCATCTGTATTCAAAACACAACGGAGTAAGTTATTCTAGTCACTCAGAATTCAACCTGTTCCCCTGAGGACTTTCTTACCACTAGGGGCCACCTTCTGGAGTACGCTCCTTCCCTGACAAATACAGATTGCTTCACTAGTCCTTAAATTTTCATTTGAGTGACCTACAAAACACAAAGAATGACAGTGGTTCTTGAATTATTTTAGCCTGTAAACTACTTCAATGGGGGGGAAGATCTCATAAGCTACCTATCATACAGCTCCTCAGAAATAATGGTGTCACTGACACTGCTATTGATGAATCACCCTTGAGTGATGTCTAGTTTTCAAAAAATACAAGAGTTAAATTATTTATCCATGCCACACCAAATTGGGCCCACCGTCGTCTGATAAAAATTAGTCCTAAAAAAGATGTACCCATCAAAACCTGAGGGCCTCTCACACCTATGGCTGAGAATCCCAATGCTCTGATATCATCTTTTCCCCAATGACTTGAGTACAAGTCTTGGAAGGTAATAAAAAGTCAGAGGGTAAGAAGGATGAATTGGTCTGTCCTCAGCCCCAATTTTCAAGAACACGTTTGCCCATGTCATTATGGCCGTGTGGGGGCACCCATGAAATGAACCAGTGAATTATTTTTAGTGTCATATAGGATGCATCAAACTCAGCATCCAGAGTGTTGATTCTAAGCAGGCTCTTCCAGTAACCAGCTGGTGACCTTAGCAAATCGTCTGTCACTATCTGGGTCACAGTGTCTTCAGTCCTAATGTCCTGTGATTTTAAAAGATATTCCCCATCTGACAGATGGGATTTTAGGGGCCCTGCCTTGCAGTAAGGAGCAGCACCTGCCCTAGACAAGGATGTTTCCTCAAAGGGTAATTTGAGCCTAAGCAGTAAGTATGGCATAGGCCACTTTTTCATAGCCAAGGGGAGGGAAGACAGGAACAGCATGAAAAATTCAAAAAGCAAAGATCAAAATTTAGCCAAGGGTGTCAGGCCACACCTCAGCTAAGCCTTTTGCAGACTTCGCCCCATGTCCTGTGTGGGTTGTGAACCCTGCCAACTGCAAGCTCATCCTGGCCAGTCCCTGAGCCAACAAGAGCCAGCCAGCCATAGAGCTTGTTCAGACCTCCCCCTACTCATATGAGACAGGCTTTTAGAGGTGGTCTAAGACTGGAATACCATGTTCTAGGTGGGCACGGGGCTAGAATAACTCCCTGAATGCTTTTAAGAGGGTAATGCTGTAACCTCTTTGCCTAGCACACTTGGGGTGACCTTGTGTCCTGGCACCTGATTCCTTGAACCTACTCCAGTTCTCATCAAGAACTGAGCTCTAGCCTGACCTTCAAGGCTATTTCCTACCAGTCCCTGACTCACCACAAGAAGGTGGTAGACGAGCTGGACATAATAGCCAGGACTCCTTTTCCACCACTACAGAGTTCCACACACTGATGGTGGTAGTCGGGTTCTGAAGCCCAGTGATGAGGCTTTTGGCCGCATGTAACAAAATGTCCCATAAAAATTAATCAAGAAGGGCATTTAATTACCAAACCTAACAAGAAGTCACAGAACCAGCAGCATTCAAAGGTCTATCCAGTGGTTCAACAATGTCATCAAGGAACCAGGTTCTTTCTTTCCTTCTGCTGTCAGCATCAATTTTCTTAAGGTGTGTATCCTCATGGTGTCAAGATGACTGCTGCGGCTCCAGGTATCATATCCTCACACCCCATATTCTTAAGAATTAAAAATGGCATTTTATCCTCACATGTCTCTTTTTACCAGGGAGGAAAATCTTTCTTGGAGATCTCCCTGCACATTGCCCCATTGGTAAAGATTAGATCCCATTGTCCATGCTCTGGATGCAAAGGAGCCTAGTGAGGTGAGTAAGTGACTTTCTAACACTTAGAGTAGAAGGCCAACCCTAACAACAAGACGGGATTTGGGATACAGAGAGATCTATTATGTAGGCAACCAGCAGTGTCTACCCTACCTGGTAAGATGGGTGTTTGCCTGGATAAGGTCGAGCCATAGATATCTCTTAGACATGTGAAATTGCTTCTTGAATGAGTTTGGAGTTCTAGGATGGTATAAGTATTAGAGAGCCAGTTTTGATGCAGGATATGAAGGACCATTCCAGACATAAAGCATATGACAGGCAGGAGTGACAGACCCACAAAGCAATGCCTATTGCAGCTAGGGCTTGAACAGTGATGGGAATCAGGGCTGCCATGCTGCCCAACTCCAGGTGATGCTATGCACATAGGACACAATTGATACTGCACTGAGAAGGTACACATGGACCTCTGTGCTCATTGGTGAAGACAGTGTAAGAAGAAGGGCTTGATCTCTAGGACAATAAAAAGCCACCGTGGAACCTTTGACACTGCCCCAGGTCTCTGAGATCTCCCTGCAGATCCTCACACCTTAAGCATCTGCTCCCTAACCCCAAGTCTGCCGCCATGCTCAGCTCATTTACTTCAGGCAGGGAATGAAAATAATCCCAAATCTGGTGGATCAAACCTCATGAATAATCTCTGGTGAGCAAGAAGAAACAGTTACTTTTTGCATCCCTCCTCCCTCGCTCCACCTTCCTACTTTTAGTCCCATTAGGACATAGGTGGCAAATAAGTGAGTCCTAGAGAACAGCAGAAAAGAGATCAATGCGGATCACTGGGATTAAAGTGAGGGTATGGCCTCTCCAGTAAGATGTCTTTGCCAGCACTAAGGCCCAGGCTGGAAAATAACCATCCCTACTTGTGTCAAGATCTGTAGGAGTGCCAAAATGAGCTAAGGGCTCGCTCAGGGAAAAGCTCCCTGGCCTCTTGGAGGGCCTGCTCTGTTTCTTACACCAGGTGGCTGTTAGATTATGCATAGTAATGTAACTAGCAAAAATGAGCACGCCCTAGTACAGTCTAATGTGGCCCATGCTCTTCATGGTTTTCCCCTGCAAGTGATAAAAAGAGCTTCCCTGCTTTCTCCTATAAGAAGTGAAGTAGATTTGGAAAAGGAGTATGAGGTTCTGAGTGGTGAGATGGGGCTGAGGGCAAATGGTGTGGTGTGCGTGGTGTGTGTGTGTGTGCGTGTATGATTTGTGTATGTATGTTGTGGCTTTAACAGAGCCAAGCATGGACACTATGTGGCCATGCATGGGGTTTCCACTGCTCCAAGTGCTGTCACCAGAATGCCCAAGGCAGCTGCAGAATCGACTGGGCTGAGATGACAGCCCCTCTTATACCCACTGAGCTTGACTTTGTTCTCTCAAGTTACCAGCCCCTCCACTCCTGCAACCCACACTTCCACATGCTACTTTGGGGCTGAGCCTTGGGCTTCTAAACAAGCCATTGGTTACTCTGGTCCAGGGTGTATGCTGTTTCAGGGGCCCTCTGACCTCCAAGAAATAGGTGTTGTCGCCTGCATTCTGCAGAAGAGGCATCATGTAACCCTCCCAAGGCCACACAGCTAACGAGTGGCTGAAGCTGAATTTGATGTCTGATATTTTTCTCTTAAAAGCTCTTCCTTAGGGCCAGAGCCCCATTTTCCTTGGGATAAGAATGGAGGTTCTCTGGGCGCCTGAGGGTAATAGAAGACAGATGCTTTGCCCACATATGTCTGGTACATTTTTGCAGCGTGAGAAGCTCTCTTCTCCCATAGCAACCACTTGGGGTTTTCAGCTGCTAACCCTGTCCTCCAGGACAACAGCAGTCTAGGCTAGGCAGGACCACATTCCCACACCCCACTCCAAACTCTTTGTCTTAATAAACCCTGGATCCCACTTCTTTCTTCCCAGCTTCTCGTTTATGTTTCCAAAGAACACAATAAGCACAATTGATTTTAAAATAAAAATCTCTGGGTTATGCACAGAGGCATTATTCAGAAAGGTTAAAAATGATGAAGCAGCATTATTTCCCATTATCTTTACTTTGTAACCTTGCAGTTGAAACACCGCAAGACCAGGGTGGCCTTCCTTAATGGCGTCACGTGTGGGCAGCTGTTTCAGGTGGGCAATGCATAGGGCAGTGCCTAGTTGTCCTTGGCTCAGGACAAACCACAAAGGACAAAGGCTCATAAGTCAGCAGAGCTGGAGGAGGCCTTCAGCACTATTGGGTACAACTTCTCCCTTTGCTAGCCGGGAAATGTGAGGGTAGTTCCATCCAAGAGGAAAGGAGACCTCGGGAATTTGTGAGTCAGTGTGAGCAGAAAGCTACAAGGACCCAGAGAATTGCGCCAGAAGAGAAAAGTCGGCCTTCCCTTTGGGGCAAAGCAAATCTTTTCTGTATCAAAACGATCCACCCTGAATGAAGCTTGTGTTTTCCCCTCTTTCAAGTCAATGAGGTGGTGGAAAGCCTTGCTGGGAGGACTTAGAAAGTCAACCCTGGGAGGGTAAAATAGCTGTACAACAGGCAGAAAGAAAGCATCTTTGAGAGGGTGGGCAAAGTGGACCTTTGTGCTGTGTGTGTCTGAAGACAGTCTAAGGGAAGGGAATGTGATTAGGTTCTAAGCTCCAGGACCAGCAGGTGCCTGAACTAATCCCAATCCCATGCAGCTGTGCAGATGGAAAGCACCTCCAGAGGTACCATTTGAGGATACTATTAATACTTCCTTGGGCATGGAGTGTGAATGAGGGAACATGTAGTGAAAGGGAGATGATATGCAGGGTTGGCAAGAAGAATACCAAGTTGCACTGCAGAATTAATTACCTCCCCAACAGAGCCTGTTGCACCCTGCTGTGGGCTCCCATCATACTGTTTATACTTATGATGGTACATGTTGCAGTCCACCTTATATTATTCTAACTTGGTTTAACACTGCCTTGTCTCTCCACCTACAAGATGAGGGCAGGGTTCACAACTTATCAATGCTCAATGACCCACACACTTGGTGATCTCAAGGATCTGCTAGGAGTAACTGTGGCTTGCACTAGAAATTGGGAGGTGGTCCTGACTGGCCTAGATTGGGATGGTTAGAAGATTTAACAGATCTCTAGCAGGGAGATTAAGATGATGCCAGGCAGGGTTAGCAGAAGGCCAATGGGTCTCTGTATTAGTCCGTTTTTACACTGCTGATAAAGACATACCTGAGACTGAGTAATTTACAAAAGAAAGAGGTTTAATTGGACTCACAGTTCCACGTGGCTGGGGAAGCCTCACAATCGTGGTGGAAGGCAAGGAGGAGCAAGTCATGTCTTACATGGATGGCAGCAGGCAGGCAAAGAGAGAGAACTTGTGCAGGGGAGCTCCTCTTTTTAAAACCATCAGATCTCGTGAGACTTATTCACTATCACGAGAACAGCACGGGAAAGACTTGTCCCCATGATTTAATTACCTCCCATTGGGTCCCTCCCACAACATGTGGGAATTCAAGATGAGATTTGGGTGGGGACACAGCCAAACCATATCAGTCTCCCAAGGTAGCATATGCATCAGTGAATTCATTAGAGTCCAGGATCTGGTCCTCAAACTGAGAGGCTCAGAAACTTGAGGTGTTAACACAGAGAACTGATCTGTCAATTAGGGACAACTCAAATCAACTGAGTTCTTTAGATAGATATATAAACTGGACTCTAACTTATTAATTTACATTGAAAAATACTGTAAGCATAACGGTCATGCATACTAGAGTGCCTGGGTCTTGCCGACTAGGGCAATTTCTCTTGGTCAAAATCCTTCCATCAGCATTTAGACACACTGAAGTCTCTCACCTAAAAAAGAACAATGAACACAATCTAACGCCCCTGGGCCTCACATCCAGTTTCTATCCCCTCTCTCTCTCTCCTCCCTTTCAAAACAAAAGTTCTATAAAGAATTGTTCATTGTCATTGTCTCAGTTTCTCCACTTCCCATTGATTTCTCAATCCACTTCAATATGACATCCATCCAGCAGTGACATAAGTATCTAAGTAACCAAGATACTTAGTTACCAAGATGGCTTGGAAAGCAATCATCCAGCCATAGAGCTTGGCAAGGTCCTACATCCCCCTGCTGGTTGGGAGGTTGACTTTTGCTACTGAATCATGTTGAGGTCTGTAGGTGAGCCAGGGAGAGAGACAATGAACTGGGGCTATGGGGGATCATTCAGGGGGATTGGGGTGGTAGCTATTTACCAACCAATATATAAGTATTTCCACGTGTTCACACAGCATGGCTGTATCATTTGGTATGGTGTGAATACCAGCCTTGCTCCATCACTCCACATAAATAGCTCTTGCTAAGCTCATCAAAGACTTCCATGTTGCTAAATGTAGTAAGGATATTTTTCAGTCCTCATCTTACTTAATTTCTCAACTGCATCTGACTCTCTTAACCATTTCTTTCTTCTTGAAACACTCCTTTCTCTTGTCTTCTCTGGCCTCACACTTTCCTGGGTTTTCTCCTACAATGTGGGCAGCTCTTTTTTAATCTCCTTTTCTAGCACATCCCATTCGCCTGGCTATTGAATGTTGTAATTCCTAAATGCTTGGTCTGAAGCCACCTCTTCTTTCAAGGCTGTTCTTTCTCCCTGGACAATTGTACCCATGCCCATGTCTTCAATTCTAATTTACACACTAATTAAGTTGTATTTTATATTATCAGCCTAGAACTTTCCTCTGAGCGTCAGCTCTAACCACTTCAAAAGCACTTCAGGAGGAGATATTTATGAAACACATATTTGATACAGAACTTGTATCCAGAATACATATTTTAAAACACTCATAACTTGATAATAAGAAAACAAGCCTAGTTTTCTTCGTTTCTTTGTTTGTTTGTTTTTCTTGTTGTTATTGTTTTGAGACAGAGTCTTGCTCTGTCACCCAGACTGGAGTGCAGTGGCATGATTTTGACTCACTGCAACCTCTGCCTCCCGGGTTCAAGCAATTCTCCTGCTTCAGCCTCCCAACTAGCTGGGACTACAGGCATGCGCCACCACGCCTGGCTATAAACCTAGTTTTTAAATAGGCAAAAGATTTGAATAGACACTTTATGTAAGAAGATCTACAGATGGCAAACATGAAAAGATGCCCAACATCATTATTCTTTAGGGAAATGCAAAATAAAATCACAACGAGATACCACTTCACACCTATTGATACAGCTAAAATAAAAAAATATTGACAACACGCGGTGCTGGCAAGGACTTGGAGCAGCTGGAACCCTCATGAATTGCTTGCGGGAATGCAAAATGATACAGCCATTCTGTAAGGCAATTTGGCAGTTCCTTCTAAAGTTAAACATATACTTTCCATTTGACCCAGCAATCCCACTCTATTTGTTACTGCTATTTATCCAAGAGAAATAAGAACACGTGTTTACACAAAACTGTATGTATATGTTTATTGTGCCAAATATTGGAAACAATTCAAATGTGCTTCAACTGGTGAATAAACAAACAAACTGTGATACATCCATGCAGTGAAATAATATTTACCAATAGAAAGGAACAAACTACTAATACATAAAACAACAAGGATGAATTTCAGATGCGTTACCCTAAGTGAAGGGGAAATCTATCTTGAAAGGCTACATACGAGATGATTCCATTTATATGAAACCAGGAAAAAACAAAACTCAGGGATAGGAAACAGATAGTCAAAGAAAAGGGCACCAGGAAACTTTTTAGTGTGATGGGAAACGGGACTGGTTACATAATTCACAAGGTCCAGTGCAAAATGAAAATGTGGAGTCCCTTGTTTAAAAATTATTAAGAACTGAAAGACAGTGACAGGATACCAATACCATTCAACCAAGCGTGAGTTCTTCTATGTGTGGAGCGTGCACAGGTCCCATGCCCAGGAAAAATGCCCTGGATGAAAATGCTGTATATCTTGATGGTGGTATGACTACCTGGTGCTATGCATTTGTCAAAACCCATAAAAACACACTAGAAAGGATGAATGCTGCCATGTGTAAATTAAACCTCAATAAACCTGACATGTTTTTAAAAGACTCTTGTCACGAGGAAACCCCACATTAAAGTGGGCTGAGCTTCATCACACAGATATCACACACATCATCACACAGAAAGACAGGCCTGTACCCTTCAAACTGCACATGAAAGCCAGGGAAACAGTGAGAGAGTGTTTCAGACGCAAGGAGACCAAAATGACTTGGCAACCAAATGCAACGTGTGTTCTTGGACGGGATCTTGGGCCATAAGGAGAAAGGTTGTTGAGATGGTTGATGACATTTGAATGGGATTTGTGGCTTCTTTCCTGATTTGGGGCTTGTGTGGTGGTAATGAAGGACGGTGTCTTTAGGGGAGCATTTAAGGGCGTTGGAACAAATGTGATTAAATGCTAACTACCGGGGAAGCTGAGAAAAGGGAAGTCAAGAGATTTTTGTACAGTTCTTGCAGCTCTTAAGTTTGAAATTATTTCGAGATAAATTATTTCAAAATAAATTATTTTTTAAGTACTTCAAGATCGGCAGGTCAAATTCATGACTAGGAGGCCAAATTCATGACCTCCCTGAAATCTCCACCCCTAGAAGTGATTCTCTTCCAGTTTCCTTATCTCAGGAAGGCCCCACCTTCAAGGGGCTCTGGGAGCCAGAAACTCCCCTGATGCTTCCCTCTTCTTTCCTGACCCCTGCTTACCTTCCAGCCTCATCTGGCCTCCTCTCCCCATCCATTTCTTACCCCTAAGCAGACTGGCCTTCCATCCATCCCGGGGACCACACACAAGCTGTCCCATCCCCAAATGTCACATCCTCAGGAAAGCACCTACCACTACCATCCCAGGTCAGGTCCTGTGCTGGGCACCTTGGAGCCCTCGGACCTTCCCCACTATGGGTGCCTCGCAAGCATTGGTTTACCTGCACCATTCTACGATTCTTCAATCCACATGTGTCTCTCATCACCAGGTTGCATTTCCATGAGGCAGAGCCAGATCTGGTTCTGCTCACTGCCATCCTTGGCACTGTGTTTTACATGAGAGGTGCTCCATAAATATTCGCTGATGGAGCCATGAAGGAGTGAATGAATCCTGGCACATCTATTTGGAGGAAATTGTTCCAGTCAGGTTCAAGCCAGGGCCAAAGGAAGTGAGCTAGTTGTGAGATCAGAAGGCTAAGATACATTTCTGTTAGTTTGCTTTCTCTCTATCCTGGCCCCCGAAATTCTTCTAGGCAGTGCAGCCCCTTTCTGAGGGCTTCTCTTGCCACAGTTGTGCTCGTTTACCCAGCCCTCTAATGATCAAGCTTGACCTGTCCTGTGACCTATCATTTTTGCCTGTCTATTATCCACATTCATATATATATGTACATATATTCTCATGCATATGTGTCTTTTGTGGGGAGTTTAACTGTTACCAGGCCATTGAATTTTCCTTTATTAAATTCTAGGGCACCACATGGCAGGGCGTGAGTTCCAGTGGGAGGCCCCATGCCAGTGTTCCCCTTCTGTTCCCACTCCCAGCTCATTCTCACACCACAAGGAACCTGATGCACTCCAGCCTGTAAGTCCTGCAAAGCCCAACTCTGTCCACAGCCCCAGCACTTGCCCCCGGACACCACATGGGGCTGGACATGCACACACCAGTGAATCCATCAGGGAGAGGTGGGCCAGGAGTAGGAGGCCTACACAGGCCCTGGAAGTAGGCTTGGGAAGTGTGGTCAAGAGGAGAGTGTGGCAGGCAGATCACCTGAGCCCAGGAGTTCAAGACCAGCCTGGGCAACTGGGGTGGGAGGATTGATGGAGCCAGGAGGTCAAGGCTGCAGTGAGCCATGATTGTGCCACTGCACTCCAGCCTGGGAGAAAGAGCAAGACCCTGTCTCAGAATATAAGAGAGTGGGGGTTCTAGTAGGTGTGTCCAACCAGGTCTAAGGGCAGTACCACCATATGCCACTGTCTGTACTTCCTACTGTGGCAGTTTATGTGCTGGTATCTGGTACACTTATTTAGAGGGGAGCCAGGGATCCTGCACAGAAGGTAAGACTGACAGGGCTGGAACATCCATGCCTAATTGATACGGAATGTCGAGGCCCACCTTCATTAGCAGTGAGGTCTGACTATAAGGCATTTTTAAAGATATAAAAGAATTTTAAAAGCATAGGGGCCCAGTCCAACTCCTTTATTTTAAAGAAGAGTTGTAAACTGAGCCTTAAGAAGGCTTAGCTTAGCCTTAGAAGCCTTAAGTGACAAAGCCCCCAAGTTGAGCCTCTAAGTGACAACAATGTGACTGGAACCCAGGGTCCAGATTATCGCTGAGTCAAAACCAAAGTGCTCCTCCTACACCTTTGAATATTCCAAACATGCTCACCCGGGGGGAAGGTATACTGAGGGAGAGGCATCAGTTAAACTGTATGGGCACAGAAGGCCAGGAGTCATGTTGTCCCAGCGCAAATGCTGCCTCTCGAGAGAGGTGGGCGCATGGGGCAAATGAATCTGTCATGCTAAATTTGATGTTTCTCATCTGTAAAATGATGTCATACTTGGCCCGAATTCACCTGGTTCAATTTTGGGAGGATTAAAATAAAGTCTATGCATAGTAGTTAGCATAGCGTCTGACATATAGAAGAAAAGCTGGATAAATGTGAGTCGCTGTATTTTGTATGACGGAAAGGAGAATGATATTAACAAAATATTGCTGGTATCCTCAGGCTCCAGGGAACAGAAGGTTAAGCATGAACTGGAGTTGCCAGGTCCATTATCGGTATAGGAAGAGGCTCTTGAATCTCAAGTACTGTGTTTACAGTTTCCTCCCAAGCATCTTGCTGAGGCAATTAATTTATATCAGCTCTGTTTTCTCTCTTTAATATCTCCCCTCCCCTTAATCAGGCACTCAAGGCACGTTCATCTATTTTGCTAGTCTTCTGGTTTTATTTCTTTCTAACATACATTGTTTTATGTCTTATTAACCATCACTTTCATCTTTATTAATATTCTTTCCCCATTTTCTTTGGGTTTATTTAGTCATTCCTATTTTAATTTCTTCAGATGAGTGCTAAACACCACCCCTTTCTTCGAGGGAAGGTCTTTCTTCATTAGAAGTGAAGGCATTAGTAATGAAGGCGTTTAAGGCTATTAATTTTCCTCTGTAAACAGCTTTCACTGTCTCATAGATTTGGGGACTTGCACCCTGTCTGAAGAATTATTTCTGAACACAAGTAAACTTTTTAAAAAACTGATCACAAATTCAAAATTAATAATTCAAAATTAACAGCTGACATGTTAATGTGTGGCCTCTTGTCCTCAACACTTTCCTTCCTCTCCCCTTAACCTGCCTGCCAGTGTCCATGCCTACACTGTCTCTCCTTGGACTTGGACACTAACCCCTAATGATCTCTGCTTCCAGCTCCTGCTTCACGCAGTTGCTCCTGTGATCTTTCTAATTCAAAAATGCAGCCTCATGATTCCTCTACCTAAAACCCCTCAGCAGCTTTCTCATTACAGGATAATTGTTAGTGCCACACACACCATCCTGTGTCTGAACTCCTGCCCACCTCTAACCTCAATTGCCCTTCCTCCCAGACTCCACGTACCCTTATCCTTCATCCTCCAACAGAACCAAGCAATGCGTGGTGCCCTGTACTCCCAGCTTGGTGCATAGCTCCATCCCTTTGCCATCACAGGCTGCCTTTGCCCACTGTGCCCACTCATGTCTCCCCTGCCAGCCCCTGTGCTGCAACCATCTCATCTGAACTTAGGAGACCCCTGCTTCAGAAGCCTCCCCAGGCACCCTCCCTGCCCCCTGCCTGCTCCATGGCAAAGCGCCCCTCAGCTCCCACAGCCACGTGGACATGGCCCTTGCCTTTTCCTCACCACAGTGCATTGAGATAATCTATCTGCTTGCTTATCTGTTTAACTGTCACTTTACTAATGACCAAACACAATGTTTCCTTTTACCTGGGTCCCTAGTCCTTCACTCTGATGCTGACTCTGAACTCAACTGATAAACATCTCTGAGCCGTGGGCCTCGAGGGTTTTGCAGCTTGGGCTTTGGAAAGAAAACACTCACACGTGCCCAGAGCAGATGCAGATCCCTTTCAGACCTCACACTCTGCCTCTACAGCTGGGAAGGACAACAGGTGGCACTCTCTGGTCTCCAAACAACATCAGGTCCTCCATGACACTCAGACAAATCACTTTTTCATTGAGGCAGATGAGGTTGGTTAAGGCATCTAGATTTTATTGAGCACTCACTATTGGGCAAGAAGTTTTTAGGGGGTACCTTCTTTAATCCTACAAGGTATGATTCCCACTTTCTATAACAGGAAGATTGAGGTTTAGAGCAGTATTTCCCAAACGTTGGTATGCACAGGAATCACCTGGGATCCTATTAAAATGCAGATTCTGGGCAAGTGGCTCACACCTGTAATCCCAGCACTTTGGGAGCCTGAGGCAGGCTGATCACTTGAGGCCAAGAGTTCGAGACCAGCCTGGCCAACACGGTGGAACCCCATCTCTACTAAAAATACAAAAAAAAAAATTAGCCAAGCATGGTGATGGATGCCTGTAATCCCAGCTACTCGGGAGGCTGAGGCAGGAGAATTGCTTGAACCTGGGAGGCAGAGATTGCAGTGAGCCCAGATTGTGCCACTGCACTCCATCCTGGGTGACAGAGTGAGACTCTGTCTTAAAAAAAAAATGCAGATTCTGACTCAGTCAGTCTGGGTCAGGGCCTGAGAGTGTGCATTTCTAAGAGGCTCCCAGGTGATATGGATGCAAAGCCCATAGACCTCCCTTTGAGTAGCAAGGGGTTTTAAAACTGTGTGCCTCCCTCCTTGCCATAGACCTCTAGAGCAGCACTACAGAACTTTCTGCAGAGATGGAAATGTTCTATCTGGGGGTGATGGCTCACACCTACAATCCCAGCATTTTGGGAGGCTGAGGAAGAAGGATCGCTTGAAGCCAGGAGTTCAAGATCAGCCTGGGCAACAAAGTGAGACTCTGTCTTTACAAAAAAATAAAAAATTTAAAAAAGAATTAGGGTGTGGTGGCATACACCTATAGTACCAACTGCTCAGGAGGCTGAGGCAGGAGGGTCACTTGAGCCCAGGAATTTGAGGCTGCAGTGAGCTATGATCACACCACTGCATTCCAGCCCAGGTGACAGAGCAAGACCCTGTCTCTAGGGAAATAAAAAAAGAAAAAAGAAATGTTCTATAGTCTGCAGTGTCCAATGTGGTAGCCACATGTAGCTAGTGTGACTAAGGAATTGAATTTTTAGTTTTACTTTAATTTACTGAAATGTACTTAGTCACATGTGACTCGTGGTCGCCACCATATTGGGTCAGTGCAGCTCTAGACAAAGCCGAGAGGAGGAGGGATTACAGCAAAGAGCTGTGGGAGCTGAAGGACTAGCCTTCTCCCACAGCAGTCCAAAGCTCAGGCCTGGGAGGGCTCAGGGTGGCTAGATTTCAGCCTAGGTGCAGAAGCCACTCTGAGTTTCCAGCTAGCAACTGGGCCAGGGCTCAGGCTGAAGCTGCCCATCTGGACACTGAGAAAAGATGAAACGTGTTTTGCAGCGTGTTGTACTTCCATGAAGCCACCTCCTGCTCCTGAGTGGTACCTGAGAATACATGAGGGACAGAGAGATAAGGATGCAGTGCGGGTCCGTGGCCATCACAGCAGGATGG
Organism: Homo sapiens; assembly: GCF_000001405.40. Lineage (NCBI taxonomy): Eukaryota > Metazoa > Chordata > Mammalia > Primates > Hominidae > Homo > Homo sapiens. The sequence goes on from NC_000015.10 coordinate 88,323,040, forward strand.
GGCTGGGAGCACTGTTACTGAACATGTAATAAGTGCCAGGCACTGTTGCAAGCACAGCACATATTGGGTTCATTTTACTCTCTACACCAACAATTTTACCTTTTGTATAGATAAGGCCCAGAGAGGTTAAGAAACTTGCCTGAAATCACATAGCTTGTGAGTGATAGAGCTGTGATTTAAATTCTAGAACTCTGGCTACAGAGCCTTCGCTCTTGACTAAATGCTAAAATTATCAAGGGGGTGGTCTGTCTGGCTTGGAAGTGGTTACAGAAGAAATGTCTAGGCCCTCTGGCATCCCAAGGGGCCAGCAGCTGCCTGAGCATTGTTAAGGGAAATCTCAAAAAGGTTAGGCGAGAGAACTTCTCTCTGCCCTGAGTCCTATGGTGTGTTGTTGGAGTGAAATGGAATCTCTCATCCCATGGTTATCTCCCTCCCCAACTCTCCACTGTTCTCCTCCGGGACCCTTTTCACAACTTGGAGATAGATGGTCAGGTGAGGCTGGAGTGGACTCGTGCCTAACAAGGGCTGGGGCCAGCGTACTGGAGAAGCACTCCACCACTAGTGGAGTGGACCCTTCAGCATGATTTTCAGAGTGCTTACGCCACTTGCTCTAATGAGATAGCAGATCCTGGTAGAGACTGGTTCAGGACCAAGGCCGTCATCACATCATTAGGGTAAGAGGCCTGAGAGGCTGAGCCAAGAGCTAGTGTAGCCTCTTCTCCTGCTCCTCCACTACAGTGGCTCCAGCCCTTGTTAGATACGAGTCCACGGCAGCCTCAGCCGACTCTCTCCAAGCTGCAAAAAGGATCAAGGAGGAGGAAGGTGGGTCAGACAGGGTGATAACTATGGGGCAGGAGATTCCATTTCTCCCCAACAGCACACCATAGGACACAGGGAAGAGAGAGGTTATCTTGCCTGGCCTCTTTGGACCTCCCTTAAGAGTGCTCAGGCAGCTGCTGGCCCTTTAAATGGAGCCAGCTCCCACTGGGCACTCTTAAAGCTCACTTCATTCATGAATTAAGTCCCTGACATCTCGTATCGGTATGATCAATATGTTTGTTTATTAGCAGCAGCTGCTGTGTTTTAGCGAAGGCGGTGAGCCCCCGTGAGAGGGCCGTCGGGTAACCACAGAGCAGGGCCTGGGACAAGGAGGAGAAAGTCCTCCTGCCGGCAAATGGGAGCTGGGGCTGGATAGGGTTTCATGGTAATGGTCCTTTAATCGAAATAACCGGTTCAGTAGGACTGTTTGGTAGGGAGCTGTGCTGATGGCTCCTGGCTGGGTCCCCACTTTAAGAGATCCATTAACTGGTGGCTGTGCTCCCAGCTGCTGGCCTATGCAACCACCAGCAGCGTGGGGGAAGCCGAGCTGCGAGGGTGGCCGCTGCAGGCCATGCTGAAGGGAGGGGGCCTTGAGTTGGCCGCTGTCAGGATGTTAAGACCACGTAGCCTTCTGGCCTGGTCCCAAACCCAAGCTCGGCCCTCCTGTCCCCATTCTGGGTTCATTTTGCCTCAGTGACTCAGGAACCTCATTCCTAGGCTGACTTATGTTTTCCAGAAGAGGAAAGGACTCATCACTTTCCAGTTCTGATATCTCCTCTGCATTGATGATTCAGGGTCTTGCCTCTCGTCCATTTGTCATGCTGGAGGTCCAGGGAATGATCCACAAAATCACTACTTCATTCATCCATGCATGCATGCATGCATTTGGGAAACATTTAATGAGTAACTTCTATATGCCAGGCTCCATGCTGGCTACTGGAAACACAAAGATAAAGGAATGCAGGCATGCCCTGGGGGGATTTCAAGTCTTGTGGGGATAAAACCATGCAAACATTGACAATACCAGAAAATAGTAGCTGGATTGGGAAAATGTGTGATGTACTACGGCAGGTGAAACTCCTAAGTTGGGATGATGGAATGCAGGGAGCTGGCACTGGACCTGAGAGACTCTCCAGTAAATCTACAGGGCCATAAGGCTATTCCATTTCTCCCAGGTCCCCCATTACAGGCTAGACTGGCAGATCTCTTCTGTATTCCATAACATGTGCTGTGTGCTGCAGCCGGGCAGACTATGCAGTGGTCTTCAGCCGGGGGTGATTTGCCCCCCAGGGACATTTAGTAATGTCTAGAGACATTTTTTTATTGTAACATTTTTATGGTGGAGCAGATACCACTGGCATCTAGTAGTAAGAGGCTAGACATCCAACAATGCACAGGACAGCCCCCAACAACAAAGAATGATCTGGACCAATATATCAACAATGCCAAAATTGAGGAACCTAGGCTACGGTTTTGTATTTTATCCTAAGTGAGATGCAAACACAAGCACCTTCACCACTTCCTGCCTTGCTTTAGAACTGCCCTCCTTAGTCCATCCATCACACTAATTTCATTATGCAACCAACCCACCCAATGGTTGGTCTTTCTATCTGGTCTGCCACTTACATTGTTACCTTGGCCTTTGGTGTTTGATGTCGGGTAACATTTTCTAGGACAGGACCCTGGCTATTTCCACATTAACCCCCAAATCCTCAAATCTTGGGGCTTCCCTCCTGGAAGATGTTCCAAATGGGCTCACCCTGTCTCCACAAACACATTCACCACTGATCCTGCCCTTGTTCTCCTGCCTCCATTCCATATTTAGCTTGAAGTGTGGACACATGGCTAAGTCCATCACTCCCACACTCTCACCAGAATCCCATTCTCCTCTCATCACTCAGCTCTGCTACTCATGAGGCATGAACACAGGTGCTTCTAGTGCACAGAAAAAGGTCAGATAAATGTCACCAATTTATGACTTCACATTTTCTAGCACCTGGCTTAGGGTATGCCTGAATCCAAAAGTTTTGAATAACTTCCAGTTGCTATCTGATTAAGATGTCATGATATCAAAGATGCTGAGATCCTGATTCTTTCTGCACAGGATGCTCAGTAGAGAATCCCAGGCTATCCACAGTCTTCATACTGTCCCCCAGCCAACTTCTAGGTAGTTCTAGAAAATGTCTGTTGTTGCCCTTGGACTTCCCAAACCAAAGATGACAAACAGCCGCCTTCAATAAGTTGATAGTTGATGCCTGAAGCAAGATATTGTGAATAATTCCTGGGTAGTGGGGCCATGGAAGTCCTAGAGAAGAAGGTCTTTGGGGGTTCTCACTCATCTCCGCTCTATTCTTTGACATACTTCAGCTTTGAGCCTACACCCTCACCCCTATTCCAACGAGACAGCTGGCCCCGGTCCCTCCTATTATAAAAATTCTAGAATCTGAACTATTTGAGGCCAAGGTTCAGGAAGAAAGACAGTCAAGATCAATTAGCAATTTTTTTCAAATACATAGAGGTGAGAGGAGTGGAGGCTTCTGTGGCAGATGTTTGCCATTCTTGGATACAAATGGAAGATGAATTATCATGCATTCCTCATGCTATGTTAGTAGGACAGTGACTATGGCTGACAGTCAGTGTCTGGGTCTTCATGAGAGACCCAGATGAGTACTGAGATGGATTGCATCTTAAGTGAAGTTGACAATGCATTCTCGCTGGTTTTCACCTGTGGATATGTGCACAAAATCTGTCTGGTGATATAATTAGAAAGTAGGACTGTCTTCAATCTGCATATTTCAATGACCCATTCATTGGAAAGGTGCCCAATCTGCGACTTTGTTTTCCTGAATGGCAACATGCACACGCTTTAGAACATCCCGATAAGCAGAGATTTTGAAAGCCCCTGAGGAATGAATCAACGACTTACCCAGTGTTGGAATACACTCTCCTGTATTTCTGCCAAGCTGCCCTAGCTTTTTCCTGAACAATCCACAGATAAGGATTCATAGCCTTTTGCCCCAGGCAGCCCATTCTGACTAGGCACAGCCAGAAGCTCTGGCCAATTAAACATCACCCTTAAAGGTAAGAAAATTTACGGATCTATAAATTCCAACCTTCAGCCTCACTTCTTCCCTTGAGGACCCTCAGAACAGCCCAGCCCTCCTTCAAACATTCTTTCAACCATCTCAAGGTAGGATCCTAAAGACCAAGGTTAAGCAACCCCAGGTCTTGGAACCAAATATGGCCTTCCACTTGTTTTTGTAAATAAAGTTTTATTGAAACACAGCCACATTCATTTGCCTATGGATGCTCTTACACTTCAACAGTAAAGCTGAGTAGTTGTGACAGAGACCATATGGCCTGCGAAGCCTAAAATATTTACTATCTAACCTTTTACAAAAATATTTGCCAACCCCTGCTGTAGACCAGCAGTCCCCAACCTTTTTGGCACCAGGGACCGGTTTCATGGAAGACAATTTTTCCATGGATGGGTTGAGGGGGTGGTTTCTGGATGAAACTTTTCCATTCAGATCATCAGGCATTAGTCAGATTCTCATAAGGATCACGCAACCTGGAGCGCGCAACCTAGATCCCTTGCAATGAGCAGTTCACAATAGCAGTTCACATTTCTCGCTCTCCTATGAGAATCTAATGCCACGGCTGATATGACAGAAGGTGGAGCTCAGGCAGTAATGGAGCTACCCCACTGCTGACCTCCTGCTGTGTGCCCCAGTTCCCAACAGGCCACGGACTGGTACTGGTCCACGGCCCAGGAGTTGGGGACTCCTGCTGTGGACTATAACTTCTTCGGTAGGTGCAGAACAAGCCAGATCTTGCTAGTGATCATCATGGGGCATGATTTTGAGTCTTTTCACCTTCACCATCCTGATCACTCTCCTCTTAACACCTCCTATTAATTTATGTTCATTTTTTAAAGAGCGATCCCAGAACCATGCTCTTGCAGGAACTGGACAAGACTCATCTCCTTCCTTTTTCTTAATACCAAGCCCTTCTTTCTGCAGAGAAAGATGACATTCACTTCCTCATGGTCAACAGTCACTGCTGATTTACAAGGTGTTCCCTGTTAACAACAAAATAGCACCAACATTCCTAGCTAGCATTCACTGAGCACTTGCTATGCACCAGGCCAGGGATAAGTACTACATATCACTGCTTTGATTGTTTCCACCAACTCTCCTATAAGGTAGAGCCTATCATTATCCCCATAAATGAAGAAATTGGAGGTTCAGAATGGTTAAGTATGATCCGAAGTCATACAGTTCACAAGTGACAAGGTTAGATTTCAAACCCAGGTCCTACTGATTCCCGAGCCCCATCTTACAGTAGCTTTCCCCTTCCCAGGTACTAGAACCCAGCTGCGTTACATTTGGTTATGGTTCCCACATCAAGAAATCGTGACTTTAACTTGATAATTTAGCTCACCTGCATTTATCCAACAAGCAGCTCACTGACTAAATGCATGAGCCAGGCCTTGTTCTAGGGTGCTGGAATAATGGCAGTGAGCAAAACAGACAAAAATATCTACCCTCCTGGACCCTGCCTTTTAGCAGGATAGAGGAAAGGGAGAGAGGCATAAATAAAACAAATAAGGAAAAGAATTAGGGCCAGGTGCCGTGGCTCACTCTTGTAATCCTAGCACTCTGGGAGGCTGAGGCGGGCAGATCACCTGAGGTCAGGGCTTTGAGACCAGCCTGGCCAACATCGCAAAACGTCAGCTAATACAAAAATTAGCTGGGTGTGGTGGCTCACACCTGCAATCCCAGCTACTCCAGAGGCTAAGGCAGGAGAATCACTTGAACCCAGGAGGCAGAGTTGTGGTGAGCTGAGCTCGCACCACTGCACTCTAGCTTGAACATGAGACTCTGTCTCAAAGAAAAAAAAAGAAAGAAAAAAGAAAAAGAAAATAAAATAAAAAATATTAAAAGTGGCAAGTGCTATGAAAAAAATAACCAGGCAGGGAAGAAATCACGTGCTGGAGGGGGCAGGGTTGCAGTTTTAAGTAGGGTGGTCAGAGTGGCCTTGCTGGGAAAGCAGCCTCTCGGAGGTGCAGGATTGAGCCATGTGGGCACCTGGAGGAAGAGGCTTTCAAGCAGAGGAAGAAAGACCCTGAGGCAGGGCTATGGCTGGCACAGTCAAGGAGTAGCAGAGAGACCAACTGGCTGGAGCAGAAGGACCAAGGGGAGAGTAGCAGGAGGTGAGGTCGAGGTTTAAAAGGGCCAGGCCCTGCAGTGCTTGAGGCCTCCGCAAGGCTTTGGGGTTCCACTCTGAGCAAGAAGGGAAGTCAGTGGAGGCATCGGAGCAGAGGAGGGAGGTCATCTCACTAAGGCGGTAAGTGGACCCCCTGGCTGCTGGGTTTAGAATGGACTTTAGTGGACAAGAGTGGAAGCAGGCAGAACAGTTTGAAAGCTTCTGAAATCAAACACAAGAGAGACAATGGGGATTCCGACCACAGTCCCAGCAGCAGAGGTGCAGAGAATCCCGCTGGACTCTGGATATATTTTCAAGGTCGAGCCAACAGGAATGCTGCATGGATGAGGGATGCAGCATGTGAGAGAAAGAGTAGAGTCAGGGATGTTATAACCAAGAGAGGAAGGAATCACTTGATGGATTTCTTGTCTGAGCAACTGCAAGTTCTGAGCAACATGACCTTGGACCACGCCTATGACCTTGGACACCTTAAGTCTGAGATGCCTCATCATTCAGTTCCCACTTGTAAGTGAGAACATGTGGTATTTGATTTTCTGTTCCTGCATTAGTTTTCTAAGGATTCAACCTCCAAGAGGAGGTGCTAAGTAAGCGGGTGGCTATAAGAGACTGAAAGTTCAGGGTGGACCCTTTTGTTCACTCGCTCCTTCATTTATTCATAGCCATTTACTGAGTGCCTACTTCAGTTCAGCAAGGAATCAAAATGTTCCTGGTGAAAAAAAATAAACTTGTATTTAGATCAATACTAAGTGGCACGTCCTACTATCTTAGACTGTTAATAGCCTTCACTTCTCTGTCAGCAGCACGAGCACCCCGTCTACACACACACACACAAACACAGAGGCTCACACACCAAAGAATCAGGCAGTCTTCACTGAGAAAATTCTGGGTGAAGAGAAAAGGCAAAGACGAGGCAGACGCCCTGCAGATGATGCAGAGAAGGCTCTCCCTTAAGGCTCCCCGCTTCTACTAGGAGCTCCTGCGCTCCAAAAACGCTTAGCTCCTGCAACTCCAAAAACACTCCCCAGCCACTGAACATCTGCCTCATTGCACACCCAGGCTGGCCACCCCCTCTACGAGGAATAGCCCAGAAGCACCTCTGTCCAAGGAAGGCATATGGCCTCATTTTAGGACTGCAGCAAGAGAAGATCCCTATGGTCTTAGATGACATCCTTTTTTTTTTCCAGCTTAATTATGGCTTCTGACAGACAGGGCTCAGCTAGTACAGAAATCTGCACCCCGAACTCACTGTCACAAAGATTCCAGCCAGACAGACCTGGGGACACATTTCCCTTGGACTGAGGCTGGAAGACAGAGACTTTTTAATTAGAATTTGTTATTAATGGGAAGTGCTGCAAATTAAAACTAGGCCTCCTCCCTCTCCCTCCTGCGTTCCCCACTATATTTATCTCTGATCTCAATTAGAAAGTTCAGGGACTCGCTGCTGAATAGAATGTGTGGATATGAAAGCTTCTGGAGACACCAGAAAGAGGGTGAAGGCGTGGAAGGAGAGAATGGAAAGTGGAGGCTGGGGAGGGGGCGATGGGTGTCGCTGAGACAGGGTGGGAAGGACCGGGATCACACCCCGTGCCTGAGCTGTGAAACGTGCCCTGGAACTGCCCCAGGAAAAGCCTCCTAGGGCTTTTCTCTAACACTGGTGACAAATGTCTCCACTCCTTGAAGAGGGAATAACTAGTCACTAACACAGATGAGACATCAGAGGTGGCTACACTCTGAAAGAGACTTTTTTCAGGGAGAGTTAGAGAGACATTCAGTTTGGTTTGGTTTATACATTTTCAAATGGAAACCAATCTGATTTTTCCCTATTGTAAAGATAAGACATGCTTTTTTATTTTTAAAACCCCCACATTACAGATAAGGTTAAAGTAAAAATCATTTGAAATCTCACCAACCTAAAGATCTACGCTGTTCATAGTTTTGGTGAACATCCGGCTTGCTATCTGTCTCTGTCTCTGTCTCACACAATTTAATATCTTTGGGATAATGCTATATATATGAAATGTCCCGAGGCATGCTTTTCCCTCGACAAAATACATTGTGAGATATCTTTCTATATCAACCAACATAAATCTATGTCAAAATTTTTAATGGCTACATGGCATTCCAATATATGGACGTATCATAATTTATTTAACCAGGCCCATCTTGGTGGTCATTTAGGCTGCTTCCAAGGTGCATTCTTACAAACAGATCTGTGCCTTCCCTTTAACAGAGCAGAGCTGGGACTGCACCACAACGCTACCTCCATCCCTCCGCAACTGGGCCGTGGGACTTCCCAGGGTCCAACAGCGCCATCTATGGGCCGGAAGACCCCCGAGCGATAGCATTTTCTCAGCGACCTCTTTGTCTACCCAAGAAACTAAATGTGGGCCCTCCCACCCCAATCCATTGGCCTAGAGCTGTGGAAAGCTGCATGATCAGCAGAATTAGAACAATAAACAAACTTCCCCTTGTGCCATAAATCCTTTTGGGGACCTTCAGATGGACAATAACCCTAGTTTAGCACACTCAATATGGTTTGCTATTATTATTCTTCCAGTCATGAGATGATATTTGGAAACATGATTATGATCATCCAATTCCACCTAAAAAAGAGAGAGAGGGAGAGAGCTTCAGAGCTGCCCAGCCTGGGAGAAAGTCGTGATGCCTCCCCTTCTAGCTGCAGCACAGAGGACAAGTGACTTGGCCTGAGTCTCACTTTACTCATTTGAAAATGGTAGTAATGATACCTCCCTTGCAGGTTTGCTTGAGATTACAAATAATGTATTGAAATACTCAGATCATAGTAAGTGTAATGGTAATTTTAACAATAATTACTAGCATTAGTAATAATAGCAAAATACTATGTTTGTATTAATAATAAATTTCTCTCTATCATGCCTCCTGCTAGTCTTACAGGGCATATGTACAAGACACATGCCCTGCCTTCAAGGTAGGCTCAGATCTCTCTACAGGCAACTCTCCTAGGAAGCAGATCCTTCAGGAGGCACAAGGTGGCTGTGAAAGAGGCGGCACAGAGCATAGAATGAAAGGAACCCACAGCACAATGAGGGAAATTTAGGAATCAGCATGGAAAGCAACTTAAAGCTCATGAGGTCCAACCGCCTGTTCCCACACTTGAATCAAAGCCAGCTCCAACAGGTCTGGTCTATTCACCTTACTCCAGGGATGAGTCCCAACCACACTAGTGAGGCCAACTTCCCCTCTGCCAATAGCTCAGTTAGAAAATGCTCCTGCTCAAACTTGAGGAAGTGCTTAGGGCAGGCTTTCTAGACTGTCAGGATGATTGAAGGCAGACCTCCCAGAGAAGAGAGATTGGGGGGTTATAATGCAGGGTAAGTGAACATGGTCTTGGGTGGTTTGGGTTGTCATCTGCCAAGGGCAAGGACTGGTCTTGATGACCAGATGACCTCCTGGCCACACCAGCTTTGTGTCCCACATTTTATGCACATGTAGTACATGACCTGTGTTTCCAACCCAGGCTGAGGTCCAACTACTGCTGAGGACCTCAGAGCACACTCATGACAGCCATCATGGTGCTGAGGGCAGAGTGAAGGATGGAGATGGACGGAGAGAGAAGGTTGTCTTCTGTCCATCTCACAGCCATTGCCCCATCCAGACACTTACTGCCTTTTCGGTAGGGTACTATGATAACTTCCAACTGGTTCCAGCAGTCATCCTATTTCTACTCCAGCCCTTTCTCCACACCACTGCCAAATTAATCATCTACTGCAGCTACTCCCCAGCTCAAAAACCATCCATAGATCCCCACTGCCTGCACAATGAGATTCAAACTCAATCTATCAGCAAAACTCTCTATTATCTGACCCCAACTCTTTCCCTAGTTCTTCCTACTCTCCAGACATATAGAAACATGTGATGTCTCCCAATACTTGTCTCATGCTTTCCCACCTCCCTGTCTTTGTTCAAATAATGCCCTCTGTTACCGTCTCTCTCTTCCAGATCCCCACATGCCCCAATTTTACCCATATTCAAGGTGACGCCTCTGCTGGCCACCCATTCAGAAGTAACCCTTCTCTCCTCTGGCTTTCACTTGTATCTTTCATGTGGAAGTTAGCATTTTAATCTTTTATAATTATTTGTGATTCTAGGGTATGAGCCTTGTAGACTCATCCTGGAAGACAAGAAGACATTGTCCTTCACATTTATCTGAACATCACCATAACAAGCAATGACTACTAGTTGATGTGTGTTCAGGACACACCTTGGGTCTTAGGTCACCTTCTGTCACTCATCAACTATGTTTCCTCAACTAAGTCCCAATTGAAGGTCTTAGTTTTCTCATCTGCAAACTGGAGCTAATAATACCTTCCCAGGGTTATATGTGCATCAAAAAGCTAAGGAACAGGATCCTACACTCCCTGCCAAAAGTGATGATTAAAGGTGAAATGAGGCCAGGCACGGTGGCTCACACCTGTAATCCCAGCACTTTGGGAGGCCGAGGTGGGTGGATCACTTGAGGCCAGGAATTTGTGACCAGCCTGGTCAACATGGTGAAACCTCATCTCTACTAAAAATACAAAAATTAGCTGGGTGTGGTTGCGCATGCTTGTAATTCCAGCTTCTCTGGAGGCTGAGGCATAAGAATTGCTTGAACTTGGGAGCCAGAGGTTGCAGTAAGCCAAGATCACACCACTGCACTCTAGCCTGGGCGACAGAGCGAGACTCCATCTCAAAAAAAAAAAAAAAAAAAGAAAGAAAAAGAAAAAAAAAGTGAAACGAACAGCGGGATCTCCAGGTTCAGTGAGTGGAACGGAATAGAAAAAACTGAAATGGGTAAAGTGGGGGTCTCTGCTCTCTCACTTGGGCTTTAGGTAAAGTTTTCTGCCTGTCCAAAGTTTGCATTCTGGATGGTGGGGTTAGAACAAATGCAAGGCTAGAAGCTTCATCTTATGTTCCTCCTGGGAATGCTGATCCTTCGGAAGGATGCTATGCCCTGCCTCCACTCCTGGAAGCCCAGGTCGGGTCTCCCCTGCCACTCTCACCTCACCTCATCTCACCCCCACAGTTTCCCCTCCCTGTGGGGCCCAAGCCTTGCCTGTCTCCTGCTGGGGGTCTTGGACTCCCCAGATGGCTGCACCAAGGTGCTCAGTCTCATAGCCAAGTGGGCCAGACCCTGAAACTACCCCTCTGTCTACCAATTGGTCGCTGCTATCTCTCCCTCTCTGTACGAATATTATTGCCAGCAATTAGCACAAAGATCCTTTCCCACTCTAGTTAAGATCCCAAGCTGCAGTTAAATGCTCCCAGATCCCATTTAAAGGATTTTCAATGCAATTCATTCTGACTCATTAAATAATCCCATGGACGACTTTCTTTGCTTTTACCACCTTAGAAGCCTCTTTCCAGAAAAGAAAACAATAAATGAGGGTGGGTTGGAAGTGAGGAGAACAGCCTGGTCTGGAAGAGGAAAGGAGAAGGCTTCTGTCCTGGCCTCACCAGCTCCTGGTTTTGCATTTTGCTCTCTCCCTCTGGCTCCCACCCATGCCCTCCTCCTGCTCTCTCCCTCCATCCTTTTCTCTCGGAAATGACTTCACCTGGCAGCTATGGATTTAGAGATTTTTTGCCAATTACTTATGCCCAGTGAGAAAATAGGTTTTTAATGTCTGCCCTTGTTCCGCCCAGCCTGGCTACCTCACTGTGAAGCGAGCCCACAGCTCTCACTCCCTGAGCAGCCGGTGCCCACTGCCCAGGCTGGGGAGGATGGGGTGAGGACAGCTGGAAGGGGCAGGAGAGGGGCAGAGGCTTCGGTCTCAAGGATAGCACCCTTGTTACAGAGTTGGTATAACAGCCTGTGAGATCTGTGTTCCCTCATCACCCAGCTCAACATACCCATTCATTCATTCTCCATTAATTATCAAGATTTACCAAGCATTTACTGTGTACCAGGCACCTGGCAACCATTTTCTATGTATTAATATACTAAATCCTTGAAATAATCCAGTAAAGTAGATGCTATTACAATGTCATTTTTACAGAGAGGGAAATTAAACCTCCAGAGTTTAATGTATCACCCAAAAATCACACAACTAGTAAATGCTTCTGAGAGTTGAGCAGAGGGATGAGCATGAACCCAGGCACTGTTGTTCCAGAACTTCTAGATATGCATAACCACTCCTGTGCACTGCCTTTTGCTTTATCATCTTATACCAATAGGAGGTGGTACAGGGCCCTGCCGCACCTGGAGAGGCCTCAGCCAGACAAGGTCCTTGCCACACCACAACTCACATTCTACCTGGGGACACAATTATTTCAACTGTTTTTGTATAACATGGCACATGGTCTGGTGAGGGCTGTGACTGAGGTTTGTGCAAAGTGCTGTGGGAACTCAGGGAGCAGGGCCATCCATTCTGCCTGGGGAAGAGAAGGCAGATTGGGAAAGGTGACAAGAGGAGATGGCATATCATCCAGGCCTTGAAGGCTACGGAGGAAATCATCAGATGAAGGAGGGAGGGGAAGGGCATTCCTGGGAGAGGGAACAGCATGAACAGAGGCTTGGAGGCTTAAAAGGGCCTGGTGCTTAGGTAGCATCCTCCTAAGCAAGATGCAAACCCCGAGTGTGGCAGGGGATTTATTGCATAATTTTTACTCTAGACCAGTTTTTGAGAGGAGGCAGTTCTGCCTCCCAGCACACTTAGGCCAATGTCTGCAGACATTGTTGGTTGTCACAACTGGGTGGAGGGGGTGCTACTGGCCTCTAGTAGGTAGAGGCCAGTGATGGTGCTAAACATCCTAAACAGTGCAGGACAGCTCCCCACAACCAGGAATTACCCAGCCCACAAATCTCAATAGAGCTGAGCTGGAGAAACCCTGATCCAAAGAAAGGATTGCAGTAAGGCATGCAGAGGAAAGCATGGTTAATTCCAGTTAAAGAAATCAGAAGAGGGTTCATGGAGAAGAGGTATTTAAGAAGATCACACAAATGGGGAGGATGTGGACGCATGAGGATGAGGGAGAAGAATTACCAGCACAGGAGAGAACTTAAGCAAGACCTAGAAGGTGCAAAGTAAGGGGTGTGTTCAAGGAACTGTGCGCTTCGTGTGTACAGCATTCATGAGGAGGAGTAAGAGAAAATGGCTGAAAAAGTCGTTTCAGGTTAGATGTTTATGAGCCTTAAAGCAAGTTAGAAAGAGTCAGTAAAGGCCAGGTGCAGTGGCTCACACCTGTAATCCTAGCACTTTGGGAGGCCAAGGCAGGTGGATCACGAGGTCAGGAGATTGAGACCATCCTGGCCAACATGGTGAAACCCCCCTCTCTATTAAAAATACAAAAATTAGCTGGATGTGGTGGCCCACGCCTGTAGTCCCAGCTACTTGGGAGGCTGAGGCAGGAGAAACACTTGAACCTGGGAGGCGGAGGTTGCAGTGAGCTGAGATTGTGCCACTGTGCTCCAGCCTGGTGACAGAGCAAGACTCTGTCTCAAAAAAAAAAAAAAAAGGAAAAGAAAAGAAAGAAAGAGTCAGTAAGGCAATGGGGAGCCACAGAAGGGCTTGGAGCATCAAGAGACAGGATCAGAAATGCACTTTAATTAATCAGGCTTGAATTAATTAATCAGCCAGTGCACGGAGAGGCTGGAGGAGGGGAGACCAGTTAGGAGGCCATTTCAGTGTTCCTGGCAGGAGTTCCAGCCAACCTGGACTTGCACAGTGGCAGCCTCGCTCCACTCGCTAAATTGAGAGTTTACCCTGTGCCAGGCCCAGTGCTAAGCATATAATACAAAACTGAGCCTCATTTTACCCAATAGACAGTTCCCTGGGAGATATGAAAAACAAGCTCCTGTCAATTAATTTAAAATTTAAATGTAATTTGATATTTTAGTATGTTAAAACATGCATTACTTTTATCATTAAAAATACAAGAAGTTTTTAAAAATGGAAACCAAGATTTATGCAAAAAGATTTTATTACACTATTTTCTAAAATAACAATGTGTTTGCCATCAGGGGATCACCAATGACATATCAGGCACTGCACGGGGTGATTTACATGAAAACAACCAAGTATTTTCTTTTCTTTTTTTTTTTTAAAAAAAAGGAGAGTTCGCTTTTAAAAGACTGGCATATAGTAGCTGTCCAATAAAATATGTTGAGTAGGCCAGGCATGGTGGCTCACACTGTAATCCCAGAACTTTGGGAGGTCGAGCTGGGCAGATCACCTGAGGTCAGGAGTTCAAGACCAGCCTGGTCTACATGGTGAAACCCCATCTGTACTAAAAATAGAAAAATTAGCTAGGCGTGGTGGTGCACACCTGTAATCCCAGCTACTCAGGAGGCTGAGACAGGAGAATCGCTTGAACCCAGGAGACAGAGGTTGCAGTGAGCTGAGATCACACCACCGCACTCCAGCCTGGGTGACAGAGCGAGACTCCATCTCAAAAAAAAAAAAAAAAAAAAAAAAAAAAAATATATATATATATATATATATAACAAATTATTTAATTCATGTGAATTAGAATGTTAGAATGGAAGGGCACCTGATTGATACTGGGCTCAGGTATAAGTAAGAAACACCACATTCATACTTGAGTGCTGATCATGCTGGACTGGCCTCCCAAGTGAATGGAGTTAGGCAATGGGAGGAGGGGCTGGAGCTGTTTCAATCCGTCCTGCCCCAGATCAGGCCCCGGGATCTAGGAGAGCTGTGACTGCAAGAGATGAACCACGTCCCAGCAGGGAGTCAGGAAAGGGGACACCAAGGTGAGAATCAAGAAAGGTAGGACAGATTAAAGCTTTTGTGAAGCCACCAGAGCTTTATTAAATGAATAGTGGAAAACTCAAATGCTTGCTCTGAAACAAAGAACCTCAAAGTCTCAGTGGCATACGGTAACAAGCATGTCAAATTCTCCCTCATGAGTTTGCAGGTGGCTAGGGATGGCTCTGCTCCATACAGCCCTCATCCACCAGGGACCAGTGAGCCAGCAGGCAGGTTTTTTTCAGGGCAATGACAGACGTTCAAGAGAGCAAGACCAACTGCACAAGGCCACCCAAGCTCCTGCTTGCATCACATCTACTAATATCTAGCCAGCTAAAGCAAGTCAGGTGGCTTAGCCAAAAGACAAGGAGCAGGGAAATACACTTGCCCTCTTGTGGAAGGAATTACAGAGATGCCCAGCAAAGGGCATGGATACAGGCAGGGGTAGAGGATTAAGGGCAATCATCAATCATGCAGTCTCAGCCCAGCAACTATTAACACTTGCAGTTTCCTATTTTCATATTACAAATTTGCTTAAAATGGGCCCTGTGGCAAACAAACAGGGGCTCTTTGCAATGGATGAATCCTCTCTCCCCTGAGATTCTGAATGGGATCACAGGAGAGAAGCAGAGGATAGGGAGAGAACATTGGCCTATAAGCTGGAAGCCTTGGATCTTATCAATGTTGTTGATGCTCAGCCTGCTGTGCTTCACCTTTATTTAACACTGACCTAACCCTAACCTAAACCTCAACCCTTTGACACTGTCAGCCTCCTCTTTCTCCTTAAAACTGTCTTCGCTCTTTCCAGAGCATCTTTCTCTTGCTGTTTTTATCCTGAGCCTGCCCCTCGAGCAGTTCCTTCTCTGTTCCCTTTGAAGGTTTCTTTTCTGCCACCTGCCCCTGAAATACCAGTGGTCTTCAGGTTTCTGTCTGGAGGCTACTATGTTAAGTGAAATAAACTGAACACAGAAAGACAAATATTGCATGTTCTCACTCATATGTGGGAATTAAAAAGTGAATCTCATTTAGATGAAGAGTAGATTGGTCGTTACCAGAAGCCAGGAATGTTAGGTGGGAGAGGGGTGAAGAGAAGCTGATTAATGGGTACAAATATATGGTTTGAGAGAAGGAATAAGACCTGGCGTTAGATCAGTTGGCTGACTATAATTTATAATAATCTATTGTACATTTCAAAATAGGTAGAAGAGAATAATTTGAACAGTTCCAGCATAAAGAAAAGATAAAAATATTTAAGGTGATGAATATCTCAAGTACAATTATTTGATCGTTACAAGTTATATCAATGTACTAAATTATCACATGTACCTGAAACTATGTACATCTATTATGCATCAATAAAGAAAACTTAATTTGGATAAAATGGAAAACTTCTATTTCAAAAAAAGAAAAGAAAAGGGGCAGACCCAAAGAGCTGATTCCTGGAGGCTGTTCTCACACAATAAGGTTTCAAGAAAGATATTTGTCTGCCCTGTGCTGACCCCACTGGCCCAGAGGAACTGAGCCTGCATTGCATTTTCCCACCACACTGCACAGAGTTCATTCCAGGCTTCCTGTTCATAGGTGTTCTCACTGCATGCACCTGGCTGCCTGACACTGCTTGAGCACAGTGGGAGGGATGGGGTGGGGTGGACTTGCTTCTGTAAAGGACTAAGAAGAGCCTGGAGGGACGCAATGAGCAATCCCTGAGGGCTGGGAGGCATTAGACACACTGCCAGTGAGAAGGACGCTGGGTTCTTCCCTTCTTTTTCCCTTTAAATAGCCTCCAGTTCCATTCACCTTGCTGAAAGTGACAGGAATTGATTCCCCTTTATTGCTGAATAGTATTCCATTGTGTATATGTACCACATTCCCTTTATGCATTCATCCTTTGATGAGCACTTAAGCTGACTCCATATTTTGGCAATTGTAAATAGTGGTGCAATAAACATGGACGTGCAGAGGTCATTTTGATACATTGATTCACTTTTAAAAATATATATACACAGAAGTGGAATTGCTGGATCATATGGAAGTTCTAGTTTTAGTTTTTTGAGGAACCTCCATACTGTTCTCCACAGTGGCTGTACTAATTTACATTCCCACTGACAGTGTACGAGGATTTCCTTTTCTCCACATTTTCATCAGCCTGGGACTGCCTATTTTCAAGGTCTCAACCCCTGTCCTTGCCTCACAAACCTCATTTAGAGTTGAAGAATCGCTAAATCAGAGATATTGTTCTGACCCTCGCTGCCTAGCTGGAGGGTCTTCCAAGAAACCTGCATTCTCATCCACTGCTGATGGAAGTAGAAAATGATACAATCTTGCCGTTGAGCCATTTGGCAAGAAGTGTTTGACCTTCATGTCCACCTCTAAGAATTCATTCAGGAATGTGGTTTGATGGTTAATTTTTTGCTTTTATTATTATTATTATTTTGACACAGGGTCCCACTCTATTGCCCAGGCTGGAGTGCAGTGGCATGATCTCAGCTCCCTGCAACCTCTGCCTCCTGGGCTCAGGTGATCCTCAGCCTCCCAAGTAGCTGAGAGTACAGGAGTTCATCACCACGCCCAGCTAATTTTTGTATTTTTTGTAGAGATGGATTTTTGCCATGTTGCCCAGACTGGTCTCGAACTCCTGGACTCAAGCGGTCTGCCCACCTCAGCCTCCCAAAGTGCTGGGATTATAGGCGTGAGCTACCTCGACCAGGCTTTTACTATTATTTTTAATTAATATAATAATTGTACATATTTATGGGGTACAGTGTGATATTTTGATACATGTATACAATGTGTAATGATCATCCTAGGGTAATTAGCATATCCATCACCTCACTTATCATATCTTTGTATCGGGAACATCCAAAATCCACCCTTAGAGCTATTTAAAAAGATACAGTAAATTATTGTCAATTATATTCACCCTATAGTGCTATCATGATGGTTAATATTATACATCAACTTGACTAGGCTAAGGGATGCCCAGATA
This sequence comes from Homo sapiens, assembly GCF_000001405.40. Classification (NCBI taxonomy): domain Eukaryota; kingdom Metazoa; phylum Chordata; class Mammalia; order Primates; family Hominidae; genus Homo; species Homo sapiens. The sequence continues at coordinate 88,340,803 of NC_000015.10, forward strand.
GTGTATGAAACGTGATTTCTGGTTCTGTCTGTGAGAGCGTTTCTGGAAGAGATTAGCACTGGAATCAGCAGACTGAGTAAGAAGATCCACCCTCACACAATGTGGGAGGGCCTCAGCAGAACAAAAAGGCAGAGGAAGGGTGAATTTGCTCCCTCCTATGGAACTGGGACATCTTCTACTGCCTTGGGACATCACAGCCCCTGATTCTCAGGCCATCAGACTCCAGACATCAAAACCCCTCCCATGTAAACTGTTCTCAGGCCTTGGGACTCAGATTGAACTGCACCACTGGCTTTCCTGGTTCTCTAGCTTGCAGACGGCATGCCGTGGGACTTCTCAGCCTCCATAATCACGTGAGCCAACTCCTATAATAAATCTTTTCTTATCTATCTATCTATATATATCCTACTGGTTATGTTTCTCTGGAGAACCCCGACTAATACATGTGGTAAGAGATGAAACTCAAAGAATGTTCATCGAACACTATTCATAAAAATAAAAAATGAAAACAATGTAAATTCCAAAATAAGGATGAATTACATAAATTCTTACAGTATTATTAAATGGGTTACCATGCAACTGTTAAAATAACAAGGTTGGGGAATAGCTAATTACATGGAAAATATTTATGGAATGTTATTAAGTTTAAAAGCAGATCAAAAAAGTCTATACATACAATCCATTTTGCAGTATATATAAATGTATCCTAAATGTATCTATAAGCATAGAAAAGAGACTGATAGGATAAACAGAAAACTGTGAGTGGTTATTTCTGAGTAGTAAAATTTCAAGTGACTCTTTTCCTCTTTTGGCTCATTTCTATTTTCTACATTTTTTGCAATTAGTTTGGATCACTTTCGTAACAAGAAAAATTATTTTAAGAGTTATATTTTTGACAATCTTCCAGTTCCCTTGAGCCATGTTATTTCATAAGTTTCATGCTATGACTTGGACACCTTTTTTTAAAGTTCTACTAAGATCTACCTTCTTAAGGGTTGGGAAGCATGTCTGATTATGCCCAGCCTTATCCACCCTAAGATAGCATGGGAGTTTCCCAAAAACTCTAGTCATTTGTATGTTACCAAGCAATTTCTCCTTATCAGTATAAGGACTAGAGTAGTAAGAGCATATTTGCATCTCTCTCTCTCCCCCAGCAGATGAATTTAACAGTAAGGAAAGTCAAGGTATTAGACACTCATCTTCTAGGTGCATGGAATTTCTAGTTGGCTGGACGTCCTTACCCTAGACTGACATAATGCTTCTGCAGGTTGTCCACTACACGAAAAACTATCCAAGGGGGCAGGTGGAGACCAAAATCCAGTCCTCGTTCTGCTCACTGGCATGTGCCTGGTGCAGGGCCGAATGCTTCAAGGTGGAGGAGGTTCTGTTCATGCATTCGTTTATTCATTCATTTTTAGAGACAGGGTCCCATTCTGTCACCCAGGCTGGAGTGCAGTGGCCAGAAATCAAAGCTCACTGTAGCCTCGAACTCCTGGGCTTCCATAATCCTCCTGCCTCAGCTTCCTGAGCAGCTAGGACTATAGATATGTGCCATCACGTCTGGCTAATTTTTTTTAAATTTTTTGTAGAGACAGAGTCTCACTGTGTTGCCCAGGCAGATCTCAACCTCCTGACCTCAAGCGATTCTCCTGCCTTAGCCTCCCAAAGCATGGGTTCTTTTTTACATTCACAGCACAGTGACCATCCTCTTGCCAACCTTGGAAACTGCAGGGCTGAGTCTCCCTAGAGGAGATTTTTTTTTCTTTTTTTCTTTTTTTTTTTTTTGCACGAAAGCACTATGGGTTAGCAGTGGCCTTTTTCCCATCACGGTCTGCATTTAGAAACCAATATCCATTTCCTTCATTGGCCCAGTTGGCTTCCATAAAGATATCAGATCTATTCCTTTCTTCTGTAATCTCCTATAATCCTATAATCTTCTCCTATAATCCAGTTTGCTTCTAGTCCAGGTTCCTCTAACCTCACTTGGAGCTACCCATAGCCTTTCGTTTTACCTCATGGGTGGCTGTGGTTTTCAACAGTGACTGCACACCACAATACTTGAGGAGATTCTGAAAATCCAGATGCCTCAGCTATGCCTCAAACCAATTAAATCAGAACCCCTGGCATGGGACCCAGCCATGGTTGGGAAACACTGGCTTACTAGAAACAACTTGAACTTTAAGCCAATAAATAAAATTAAATGTCTGGGTTTAAGGGTCAGTTCCTCTGCTTATCACCATACAATCTTGGAGACGTTACTTTACTTTTTTCCTAGCCCAGTTCTTCAAATGCAAAACCCCCAGATCAATGCGTTCCCATCAAAATTGTTCTGCAAAACTGGTCAACCCTATAATCGTTCTACAACTGACCCCAGAATAAGAAAAAGAGACACAGCCACTGGGACCAAGGAGGATGGGGAATGGGGAGGAGAATAGGCATGAGGTGCTAAAAATCTGGCTTGCCAGCTAGGAAACACTGGTTGAGAATAATGTAGGACCAGTTGCTCCATGAGGTTCCTTTCATCTCTAAAAATTGGTATTCTATCCATGTGTGCAAAGCTGGCAAGAAGATAAATTTCTATGCTTCCACATGGATCAGAGGAGATTGTGAGTTGCCTAGATATGATGCCTTTTTTTTTTTTTTTTTTTTTTTTTTTTTTTTTTCAGATTCAGGTCATCAGGCTCAGAGAATTTGCTGTTATTGCCAGTCCGTCCTCACAATGTAGTAAGTCCTCACTTTCCACATGCTAGGCTAAACCTTTTAGTTATTACCACTCATGTCCAACCGGTTGGCTCCACTGAGAGACCAACAGGTGAAGCAAAGTCAACCACCCAAAGAATTTTAAAACCTTCAAGGATTTTTATCAAATCTCTTGCCTTGTCCCATTTTTTCAGCTACTTCTGCAAAGACAAGCCAGAGAGAGGAAGCAAACCTTCTCACATATCTTCTAATAAGGGCAATAATCTTGTTGTGAAGCCTCCACCTGATAACCTGATTATCTCCCTAAGGCCCCATCTCCAAATACCATCACATTGAGGTTTAGGGGTGTATTAGTCCATTCTCACACACTATAAATAAATAACTGAGACTGAGTAATTTATAAGGAAAAGAGGTTTGATTGGCTCATGATTCTGCAGGTTGTACAGAAGATACAGTGGCTTCTGCTTCTGGGGAGGCCTCCAGCAACTTACAATTATGAGGGAAGGGGAAGCAGGCACATCTTACATGGCCAGAGCAAGAGGAAGGTGGGGAGGAGGAGCCACCCACTTTTAAACAACCAGATCTCATGAGAACAGCAGCAGGAGATGGTGCTAAACCATTCATGGAGGACCACCCCCATGATCCAATCACTTCCTACCAGGCCCCACCTTTAACATTGGGGATTACTTCTTGACATGAGATTTGATAGGGACACAGATCCAAACCCTATCAAAGGGTTTGATGTACAGATCTTAGGGGCACATAAACATTAAACCCATAGCAGACACCCCTTGACATCAATCACAGACCTCAGTCAGCCATTGACCCAGGGACGGTCATGGTATTATTAACCCACCTGAGGAGGCATGCTTCAGGGAGGACTTCCATGTTGACACCTCCAACGGAAGGGGCCAATGAAGGCAGCCTACTCGATCCCTCAGAGCTTGTGCCTCCTCCCACTTGTCAGGAGTATACTTTAAAACCCCATGCGGAGACACTGGCATTGCCTACCCAGAGATGAAGGCAGCATGGGCTCTTCCTCCAAGGAACCCCGAAAGCACGTAGTTTTCAGTCTTATTATAAAGGCGAGGGATTATAAAAGAAAAAAACAGTGATGCTTCTTAACTGTAGTAATAATAAATACGTTTGCATCAGTGTGGCATAAGGCCTCTCTGTAGATAACCTGGCTCTTGAGTGGAAAGCAGACGGCCCTGTGTGATTTTGTGGCTGAGTGCGGCTGAGCATCTCGGGGGCAGTGGCACACTGAGCGAGGCCGAGTGATAAGGAAGAAAAGGTGCTATGCAGACCTGTCCCTTCTTGTGACTCTCTGGCAATTCCCTACTGGGTTGGCCTTCTGGCCCCGTCAGCAGACCTCGGCCTGGCTTTCTCACACTCTTCACCTCTAGTCTCCAGTCATGCTGGCATTCCTGTGGATCTCCAAACATATTGGTGCCAGCCAGCCTCAGAAACTTGAGCCTTGCTTAGTCCATTTTCTGGAATGTTCTTTTCCAGATCCTTATGTGGCTGTCTTCTGCTTATTCTCTCAGGAGATCTTATCTTGAAGCATTAAGAGCAAGAACACTGGAGCCAGCCTGCCTGGGCTCAAACCCCAGCTCTGTGTGCCTGAGTGGATGGACAGTTATGAAAATCAAATAAGCCAGTGCATGTAAAATCTTAGAATAATGCCTATTGCATGGTAAGTGTAAATAAGAGTTAACTATTATCATTCATCAATAATAACATGTCACCTCCTGTTAGAATAGTTTCCCCACCCATCCCAGTCATTCTCTCCCCTTACTCACTAACTGAAATTATGTTCTGAATTTGTTCGCTTGTTCATTCTTTCCCTCCCCACCACTAGAATACTTGCACCATGAGGACTTTGACTGTCTTGTTCTCTGCTGTATGCCCAGTGCCTAGCATCAGGCATATAGTAGGTGCTCAAGAAATAGATATTAAATAAAGTAATTCAGTGAATGATATTCTGCATGCCAATTATTATTTTTTGGAGGTCCATCTAAGTTTATTCAGGCTGCTATAACAAAACACCTTAGAGTGGGTAAGTTATAAACAACAGAGATGTAATGCTCACAGTTCTAGAGGCTGGGAAATCCAAGATCAAGGCACCAGCAGATTCTGTGCCTGTTGAGTCCCTGTTCCTCATCTTGGTGCATTCTGTGTGTCCTCACATGGTAAAGGAGGAAGGCAGCTCTCTCAAGCTTCTTTTAAAAGGTTACTAATCCCACTGAAGAGGGTGGAACCCTCATGACTTAATCACCCCCAAAAGGCTCCAGCTCTTAATACTGTCATATTAGGTATTGGATTTCAACATACAAACTCTAGGGGACAGCAGCATAGCAGGGTCATAAGTGAGTAAAGTGCTTCCAAGCTCATATATGTCATAATATGGCTCTTTCATAAAAATTAACCCTTTTCTTGCTCCCTTGCTCAAACTCTCTAAAAATATTAACACTTCAATCTGCAAGATAGTGAACATGAAGACGTTAAATGGTAACTGTATAAGCTGCTGCAATTTAGACAAATTCTAGTAGTACATAGGATGTCTTCCAGTGTCTGGGTTTTTGCCCAATGGGCAATTTTCAGCTCTGACAAAATCAAAATGTGTTTTCCCTCCAGAGGTGATAGAGATCTGGCTTCTCACAGACAGCAGAACTTCAAAAGGAATTGAGTTATGGATAATGATGATGAAGAGCTCAGCAGAGCCATGAAGACCGGAAGATAAAACCGGTAACAGATAACCTGTGGAGCTTGTTGGCTGAGGCAGCACTTCTTTCCACTTTTTTGTTTGTTTGTTTGTTTCAAACAGAGTCTCACTCGGTCACCCAGGCTGAAGTGCAGTAGCGTGATCTCAGCTCACTGCAACCTCTGCCTCCCAGGCTCAAGCAATCTGCCTACCTCAGCATCCCAAGTAGCTGGGACTACAAGCATGTGCCACCATGCTGGACTAATTTTTTGTAGTTTTTGTAGAAACGGGGTTTCAACATGTTGCCCAGGCTGATTTCGACCTCCTGGTCTCAAATGATCCTCCCACCTCAGCCTCCCAAAGTGCTAGGATTACAGGCGTGAGCCATTGCACCTGGCCCGTCTTTTTATTTTTGATAGAAAACAAATTCCCAACCTTCCTTGCAGCTGTGTGTAGGTAAGTGACTAGTCCTGGCCCAAAGGATGTAAGTGGAAGTGGTGAGTGCAGCTTCCAGGAAGTTTCCTTGAAAGGATTTTTCTCCCTTATCTTTTTCCTGCTGTCTGTGAATGCAGAACTGATGACTGGAGTTCAAGCAAGCCTGCTGGCTCATGAGGTAAACAGGAGTCATGCTTGGTGGAACCACAAGGGAGAAAGCTCCTGACTTCTTGAATATTTTGTGGAGCAGAGCTGCTGTACTTTCCCTGGACGACACATCTTCTAATTTTTATTTGAGAGAAAAATAACCTTCTATCTTTTAAAGCCATTGTTAATTTTGGATTCTTCTATTACTCATATCCCAACCCAATCTGAGTAAACACAGCCTTACAATGAGTAAATGCTGAATACATTTTGATCTATTAAATTATTAAATAAAGACAGGGTTGTCTGCAAAAGAAGGTTGTGACACAGAAAATGTAGACCAGTGTGGGCCAAGATCAGTGTAGGAAGAAGAGGCTCAGGAGACTCTTAGGTGCACAATATAAGGGAAAAAAAATCCAGATCAAGCCTGAGCAGACAATTCTCTTAGCTAAATCCAATTAAACATTTTCTCTGTTCTTTAATGATAAGAAATTAAAAACTAACACCAGACTCTTGCTAGGTAGCACGGAAGTTCCTCTACTTAAGAACAGTTATGTTCTTTGTAAGTCTATTTGTTTGTGAGTCTGGAGGGAACAAGGAGTATTTCCACTTAATCTGAGTGTAAGTCCCTTGAAACTTTAAAACCAGCAGATGCTGCTTCTTTATGCTAATAAATATTTTATGGGTCTTCTTTTCTCCAAAGTAGATCAGATCAGTGTAGCGGGGAAATCTGTGGAGCCAGGTAATTCCCTCCTGCCCCCACCCTCAGCCCATGGAGGGCCTCAGCTGCCACGATAGCTGCAATGTGCCATGCCCCCACCCACTCTGGCCTGTGCAGATTTGAAAGACCTGAAACCAAGAACCATCCTGACACCACCACCTACCAAACCTCTGCTTCAGTTGCTTCTATCACTGCCCTTGTCTCGTTTCTTTCATGGCACTTACCAGCGTTTACACTTCTATATTTCTGTTTGTTTGTTGTCTGCTCCCTCCATCCCCCATTCTTCCATAGACTATCAGTTCCTTACAGGCAGGGACTAGCTATATCTGTTTTAGTCACTAATGTGTTCCCCGTAGCCAGCACAATGTTTGGCTCATAGTGGACACTCAGTAAAATAGGTGGCTGAGCATGGTGGCTCCTGCCTGTAATCCCAGCACTGAGAGGCCGAGGCAGGTGCATAACCTGAGGTCAGGAGTTCAAGACCAGCCTGGCCACATGGCAAAACCCCATCGCTACTAAAAAAATACAAAAATTAGCTGGGTGAGGTGGTGGGTACCTGTAATCCCAGCTACTTGGGAGGTTGAGGCAGGGAGAACTGCTTGAACCCAGGAGGTGGAGGCTGCAGTGAGCTGAGATTGCGCCACTGCACTCCAGCCTGAACGACAGAGTGAGACTCTGTCCCAAAAAATAAAATAAAATAGGTGCTGAGTGAACGAATGAATGAACAGTTCAGCAACAGCACCTTCAGCATATTCTGCCGTTTAGGTCACTGAGCTATGTCCCAGATCTCTCCTGAATGAGTATCTGGCTGATAGGTAGCCCATCTGGATGCGGATCTTGCAGTGCTCTGCTCTAGTTTTTGTGTTTGTCCTTTTTCCTCCTCTCTTGCTGAGTATCATGGACGGTGTATGCACAGCGCATTGCAAGTTAAGTGCTTTGTCCTTCTGAACCACACCTCCTTTTGGAAAACTCACAGCACATAGAGCAACAGGCATTATTTTTCTCAGCACTTTCAATCTTTCAATTCCATACAATTCTCTTCTTTCAATTCCATAACAATTGCACACCTTTTATTTCAGCAATTTAAAACGTTCACTGCGTTTGTATTCACTGGATACAATGAAATTAATGTTTGCAAAATACCTTGGAACTAAATAGAACCCCAGCAAGATTGCCACTAAGAGTTATGTGTCACTTAACCACGGGGATACATTCTGAGAAATGTGTCATTGGGTGATTTTGTCATTGTGTGAACATCACAGAGTGCACTTACACAAACCTAAATGGTCTAGCCTATTACACACCTAGCCTACTACACACACAAGAGGCTGTATGGTATAGCCTGTTGCTCCTAGGCAACAAGCCTGCACCGCATGCTCCTATGCCAAATACTGTAGGCAACTGTCACACAGTGGTAGGTATTTGTGTACCTAAACATAGAAAAGGTACAGTAAAAATACAGTCTTATATCTTATGGGACACACCTGTTTCCTGTTGTTACATGAAACTCTGTTATCTGGTGCATGACTGTACAACAAAGGACTCTATGGTCCAGACTAAAAGAACCTCACACTGCAACTACCACCACCTTTGGTGGGAGGCTGAGTTAATGTGATCTTGTTTTGTAGCTTTGTGTTGTTTCTATCTATAAAAGTTTGCAACTTGGAAATTCATAAGCAGAGAAGCTGTTTGTTTTAAAAATGTGTAGTTTGTTAGGTTTAATTATACTTATAAATTCAGAGTATTATCTCTTTTAATCTCTTTCCATTGTGTGTGTTCGAACAGTCTCATTTATTCATTTGTATTGAATTCTCAAGGTCTGGGGATAAAAAATTCTACTGAATATTGCTATAATTTGATTTGTCCCACACTGTGCTCTGTAGAGTGTTAATAGATGTTCCCACCTAAAAAAAAAATCTGTGATAAAATAAATTTAGGAACCCTGTCATACCTTGCTCTGATATACTTACAATGTGCATTATCATTTATAAGGTTCTGCTTAACCAATGTGTATTATCGCCTAAACTTTTTTTTTAACCTAGTGTTTCTTAAACTTGCCTGACCATAGAACTCTTTCTTAAATGTAACATTCAGTGTTCCAGTATTTTTAGGGAAATGCTGAACTATACATTTATCTGGCAGATTATAAATGTTTCTTGGAATCAAGATACTGGTGCAAAAATAAGCCAAAACCATGATTATAGCACTCCTGACAGAATATTGTCTTTGCAAAGCTCATTTCAGTCCTGGTGTGCAACACTTCAAACCAGCACAGTGACAGAAGACAACACCTGCTTGACATTCTGGAAAGGGTCCTCATTCTGTCTTGTTCAGGGATAACGAACACCTTTTCCCAGCAGGTGAAGCAGCATCTCAGCAATTGTTGCATTTTGTGGAAGGGAAACATGAGAAAATTCCAGCAGGTACAGGAAGGCTGGAAGCACTTGTTTTATTTTTTGAGTAGGTTCATCTTGGCTTGTGCACGTCTTAATCTGAGTAAGACAAATATTATTCACAGTGTAGGCGTGGCAGCTCAGGAGGACAATAATGGAAGCTCCAGTTTCACATTTTTTTTTATTTGGTGTACATTCTATGCATCAAAACTATATAGGATGTTTCAATGTTCTTTTGAGAGTTCAAGCTGAGAAAACTCCCGTGGTTGGTGCATCCCTGAAATACTAATCACCACACCAAAATTTTACAGAAGAGAGAGGAAAAGAAAGAGGGTGGTGGTGGGAGGGTAGGGGTGAGTGGTTATAAAGTTACAAAGCATTAGAATATTTCCTGAGTGTCAGGAATTTAAAATTAAAGGACTCAAACTTAGAAAACCTCTGTGGAAATGATGATATGAATGGACATTTGCATGCTCAACCTTGATGACTGGCTATCAATAACCCTGAGCAACATCAGGGTTTGAAACTATTAGCCTCTAACTACCCTATAAGAACTGCAGAAAGTCAACTGACTGTGACTAGTGGCTGTGAATGTTCTTTAACTTCATCATTTCTAATGCTTTTACAGTGTCCCCTAACTCCACATAAGCGATAGGTGTCAGTCCTGTTAATATCACTAGAGCCAGGTGGCCACAGATGACCAGCTGAATGCTTTGATTGACTTGATGCTCAGTGTCTTCAACTTTCAAAATGCATTTTTAAGTTGAATTTCTGGCTTTCAAGTGAATTGATACAACTGATGAATCCAGAGGAATGACCCTTGTATGCACTTAATTCTATGAGGAATATTTTTGGGAATCGTTTGATAATTTCCTATCCTTGGGTTGTTTCACTGGCATAAATATCTTAGACATGGATTCCCAGGAGGAATGATCCAATTCATTCTCAAGAGGCTTTTGTGCTGCTATTATAATTATAATCATCATCAGCATCATTACCAATCCTTACATTTGTAAAGCTGTATTCATCAGGACTGTTGGTGGTGACTGATAGCACCACAATTCAATGAGGTTTTATTGGCTCATGAAGTTTAAAAAATCCAGAGGTAGAGGTGGATTCAGCCATTCCATCTAAATAACACCTCACCTCGGTCTTCCCCTATTCTGCTGTAAATTTTCTTCTTAGAATCTATTACTACCTGGCATTATATCATGCATTTATTTAGTGTTTGTGTATTGCCAGGGCTGCCCACTGGAATGCAAGCACCATGAGAGTAGGGTCTTTCTTTCATTTATCACCAAATGCCAAGAATCCAGAAATTGTTATGGACTATAAGAGGAACTTAATAACTAGTTGTGGAATGAAAAAATGAATTATTTGATGCAGATGCTGAAACGACATCATCAGAAATTTGTCTTTAAACATCTCTCTGCTTTTCTCTGTGTTGTTCTCATTCTCAAGACTGCCTATTCCCTGGAGACAAGATGGCTTCCAGGAGAAAGAGCACTTTTTTTCCCCCTCAATATAACCAGCAAAAGGCTTATTGGCCAGCTTAGGTCATATGACCATCCTTCAGCCAATGAGCATGGCCAAGGGGAAGGTGTTGGCCCCAGTGAACCAAAAAGTTTAAGGGCGGGAGGATGCAGGCCGAACAGACCTAACAAGAAACTGTGGCTAAAATAATAGAGTTTATTAATTGCTTTCAGTTGCATTATCTCAGCCGATCCTCACAAAAGCTTGTGAGGAGAGTAGAACAGATATTATTATCCCCATTTTAGAAATAACGAAATGGAGGCTCAAAAAAGGTATGCCTCTTCAAGCAATCAGGAAGTGGTGGAGCTCTGTCTCAATCTTAAAACCAGTAAGAGAACCCTTACCAGGAACCAGACCTGCTGAGCCTTGATCTTGGACTTCCCAGCCTCCAGAACTGTGAGAAGTAAATTTCTGTTGTTGAAGCCACCCATTCTATGCTAATTTGTTGTAGCAATCCAAGCTGATTAAGATAGGGTCTTTAGAGGGTCTGCCCGAAGAATTGAAGCCAGTAACACAGCCTGTCTGTCCATCTTGTATTGAAATGGACATCTTGTATTGAGAAATCACCCATCTGTTTATACCATGAGAGAAACATCACCTTCTGTCTCACTCTGCCACTTGAAAACCTTCAAAGGCTCCCATTCCTATAAAACAGAGCAAACTCCCATTGAGTGAATGGCTTTTTAGTGACCTGATTTCGGCCCCACTATTCAGCTTCATCTCTCACCATTTTCCATTATGCTTTGATGGGGACAAATAAACCATACCCAATCCACAGCAAGTATTCACCTCAGTAGCTCTAAATGCCATGCATATACTACTATTTCTTGATATTTTGTGTGTAGGAAATATGTATTAACTTCCCACTCAGGAAGATGAAGTGTTGACTCTTTCATCTCCCTTTCCCTGCCTCCCACCAACACACACGTACTTCCCACCTGTGTTAGGTTTGTAGGGATGCCATAACAAAGTGCCACAAACTAGGTGACAAACAACAGAAATGTATTGTCTCACAGTCCTGGGGACTAGAACTCTGAAGTCAGGGTGTCAGCAAGGTTGGTTCCTTCTGAAACTGTGAGGAAAAAACTGTCCTATGCCTCTCTCTTAGTTTCTGGTGGTTTGCTAGGAATCTTTGGCATTTCTTGGCCTATGGCAGCATAACTCCAATCTTCACAACAATGTTTTCACTGTGTCTCTGTCTCTATATATTCAGATTTCTCCTTTTTATAATGCACCAGTCATATTGAACTGGAGCTTACTCCAAAGGCCGCATCTTAACTTGATCATCTGCAGAGAACTTATTTTCAAATGAAGTCACATTCACAGGTATTGAGGATTAGGACGTCAACATATTTTATGGGAACACAATTCAACCTGTAATAACATCCTTTCAAAACTGTATAATTATGTCATCAATTTGGTTAGATTAATGTTCAGTATTTACACTGTAATAAACCCACAGTTATGCAGAGCTCAGCTATGTAGTAAACTATGGTTTTATTTTTTTCCTGAATAATTTTTTGTTGTATCTGAAGTTAATAATAGTTTTTCAATCACTTTAATTTTTATGTTCTTACCATCAGTTTAAACAAATCCTTCTGCCAGTTGTCTAAATCTTTTCTCATCCCATTCACTCATCTCAACTGTCTGTCAATTTCATCTTGATCCCCAGGGCTTCTAACCTGCTCTAATCTGTTCAGGTTGATCTTTGGAGGATGTACCTTCCCTGCTATGCTGAAGATTCTCTATTTCCTGTTTCTTGAATCAGATGTCTTCCTTTCATTAGTTACTACTTTGATTTATGGAACATAGTCTCCAGTAGCTTCTTGAGAAAGAATGTGTAGAAAGTAAATATTTGAGACGCTTTTTTTCAACAATATTCATATCCTGTTGTCATGCTCAATAGATAGTTTGGCTGGGTATAGAACTGTAGGTAGGAAATCCTTTCTCTTTGGAATTTTGATAGCACCACTCCATTGTCTTCTAGCTTCCAACACTGCTGTTGAGAAATCTGAACCATTCAACTGCCTGATCATTTATATTAACCTATTTATTTCCCTCTGAAAGCTTACAAGAGCTTCATTTGTCCCAATTATAGTAGGAAGAATTCTAAGATGACCCTCAATGGGTTACACTCATGTGTAATCTGAGGACAGAAACTGAGACTTACTTCTAGTGAATAGAATATACCAAAGGTGATGGGAAAGTCATTCCCTTGGTTAGGTTACATTCTATAACAAAGGTGATGGGATAGTCACTCATGTGATTATTTTATGTTATATAAAACTCCATCTTAGACTGGAGTGAGAGATTTTTCTGCAGACTTTGAAAAACTAAAACTAAGTTATCATGTTGCGAGATGGTCTATGAAAGCACAATATGGCAAGGGTACCTCTGAGAGATGAGAGTAGCTCCCAGCTGACAGCCAGCAAGGAAGCAAGGACCTCAGTCCTACAACCACAAGGAACTGAGTTTTGCCAACATTATCACATGAGATTGGAAGAGAACCCCAAACTCCAGATAGGAACAAAGCCTGGATTGCAGCCTCATGAGACCCTGAGTAGAGGACTCAGTTACACTATGTCTAAACCCCTGACCCATAGAAACCATGCTATGCTAAATGTATGTCCATTTGAACTACTTAAGTTTATGGTAATTTATTACACAGCAGTATAAAACTCATACTAATACAACAGCATTCTAAAATTTCAGAATATAAATGTTAGTGTTGGGTTTTCATGTTCTTAAGTTATAAACTTTTTAAAATTACTTCGTTGATGATTTTCTCTTGTTCACTGTCTTTGTTTTATCCTTCTGACACTCTTATTATTCAGATGTTGAGCATTTTAGATTGAAACTCTATATTTTTTTTCCTCTTCTACTTTGTGTTTTTCTTGTCTTCCTGGTATACTATCTGAGAAATTTGCCTAGCTTTATCTTCTAACCCTTCTATTGAGTTTTCCACTTCCACTACCATGATTTTAGTTTCTAAAAGTTTATTTTGTTCTCTAAATGTCCATTCTCTTTGGATAGCATCATGTTCTTGTTTCACAGATGCTATCCTACCTATTTCCTTTTTCCTGTCCTATTCTTGTTTCCTACCTGTTGCCTTTTTCTGTCTGCCTACTAGCTTGTTTGGTATTCAATCATTCACATTAGAGTCATTCTCACATTCTCAAATCTCTGATAATTATATTTAAGAGTGGGGACCTAAAGCATTGATTGAAAGTCCTGAGCTCATTGTGGCACTTGTTGATTGTGAACTACACTGTTAAGTGATACAGCTGGGCCATTTGCTAGGGAACCTCAATGTAAGTCTCTTCAGTCTTTCTTATTGAGCTACTCAGATTCCCCAGAAACATTTATTCTAATCTCCTGCTAGGAAGTTAAAGGGCTGTGTTCTGGGATTCAAAGAGGGCACAGAGTAGAGGAGAAAGCCTCGGAGTCTAAGCATCCAGTTTGCATTCAGTCATTTTGTCTCCCTATTTTCAGTATGGTACCCATAACATTGACTATGCCTGGTGTCCTCTATCTATGGACACTCTCTTTTACCTCTCCAGAAAATAAACCCCTTGTATCTTGGCCAGGATGTTAGGGCTTCCTAACCCATCAGCAAGGAATGAGGGAGAAAATGTAGGAGTCTAACTGCTTCTTTTTTATTGTGGTAAAACATATATGACATAACATTTGCTACTTTAATCGTAGTGTGAATTATATTCACAGTGTTGTGCAACCATCACTACTATTTACTTCCAGAATTTTTCATCACCCCAAACACAAACTCTGTACTCATTAGGCAATAATTCCCCATTCCTGTTTCTGAAACAGATTTCCACCAATCCTCTTTATTCCCACCTCTATCTCCAGTTCTGAGAGTTTCTGATGCCAGTAATCCCTGAGCCTTTGAGGATTCTGCAGTGTAAATTTGGTTGGTTGGTGGGTTTTTTCACTGCTGCTTTCAGAGTCTTCTTTCTCAGGTCAGCTACATATGTTATCACTTGTCCATCTCCTTTCTAGCTTCCAAAATGATACCATTGTCTCCACTCTCATTTTACCCAAACTTGTGGATTTGTAGCAAAAAAAGGAACCCTTTACTGGTGGTTTTAGTGGAGTTACAGGACAGTATGAATTTAGATGAGTGTACTCAGCTCTGCTCTCTGATCAACTTGCCAAACACTCTAACTTCCAACTGCTTTTTAGCTGATTTTCTTAAGTAGATGATCATATTATGTACAGATAGAGTTTTCAGACTTCTTGCAACATGTTCTGTTAAGTTGATGCAGCTCTTCCCTTCAGTTACAAACACATAGAAACACTTGATATTGTTTTTAAAATATGGCTGCACTTGAAAGAAAGAAAGGGAAATGTCATAGTGCCAGAAATCAAGAGATAAGACAGAGCCAAAAAGGTACAGGAAGGTCATGACCATCTGCAGAGGGTTTAGGGTCTATAAACCAGGGTTCTAAAACCCACACAAGTACAGGAGATGCTTCCTTGGCCCTTGAGATGGGGAAGCTGAAACCGAGCTGTAATAGGTGATTTTTGTGTCCAACATCATTTGCCCCTGGTCAGTCTCTGATTTCCCTAGAGATGAGTGTTTCACTTCTAGCATGCACCTGAGAAGAGGGACCAGAACACATGAGTCTAGTAGACCAAGGTAAGACGTTTGAAAGAATTTCACATGACAGAGTGATGTTATCTGATTCACATTTCCAAGAGATTCCTCTGGCTGCTGTGTGGAGAATAGATATTAGTGGAAGGAGGGAAATAAGTTGGGAGAGCATGCCAATAGTCAAGAGGAGCATTCTGGTTATCTATCACCATGTAACAAACTACCCCAAATTCAGAAGCATTAAAACTATAACTTTCTGGCATATAGAGAAAACTGTAAAAATTTTTAAATAAAAAAACAAAATATTATTTTATTATGGTCATTATCTATGAGTCAAGAATTCAGAAAGAGTGCAATCGACATGGTTTATCTATGCTCATGATGTCTGAAGCCTCAGGTTGGAAGTCTCAAATGGCTGAGATGATTTAAATGGGTGGGAACTGCACTAGCGGAGTTAAGCTGGAACTGTTAATTGGAATACCAACATGCCTGCCTCTTGGGCTTCCTCATAGCATGGCAGCTTAGTTACAATAGGGAGCATCCAAAGTGAGTGTTCCAAGAGAAGCAAAAAGAAGCTTTTTATGATCTATTCAGAGAAGTCACATAGCTTCACTTCCACCATATGCAATTAGTTAAAGTAGTCTTGGGCCCACCCAGGTTCAAGGGGGAAGGAACATCAACTCCACCTCTTGATGCCAAAAGTGTTAAAGAATTTGGGGACCATGTTTTAAAACTGCTAAGGGAGAGATTATTATGGCTACAAACAGAGTGATTAGCAGTGAAGATGGAGAGTGAAGACAGATTCAAGAGGCATTTAGGAGTCAAGTCAAGAAACTTGCTGTTGAATTATATGCTGGAGAAAGGGGATGATGGTGATGTAAAAAGAAGAATCATGAATGACTTCTAGGTTTTGGGGCCAAGCACTTGGGTAGATGGTAGTGCCATTTCTGGGCTGGGGAAGGAGTTACCCCAGGAGGTCCTATTTCATTCTAAATGAAGGGTTTAAAAATTATGTTTTTGCGGGGGGAGGAGCCAAGATGGCCGAATAGGAACAGCTCCAGTCTACAGCTCCCAGCGTGAGCGACACAGAAGACGGGTGATTTCTGCATTTCCAACTGAGGTACCGGGTTCATCTCACTGGGGAGTGCCAGACAGTAGGTGCAGAACAGTGGGTGCAGCGCACCGTGCACAAGCCGAAGCAGGGCGAGGCATCGCCTCACCCGGGAAGCACAAGGGGTCAGGGAATTCCCTTTCCTAGTCAAAGAAAGCGGTGACAGACGGCATCTGGAAAATTGGGTCACTCCCACCCTAATACTGAGCTTTTCCAACGGGCTTAAAAAATGGCACACCAGGAGATTATATCCTGCACATGGCTCAGAGGGTCCTACGCCCAGAGTCTCGCTCATTGCTAGCACAGCAGTCCGAGATCAAACTGCAAGGCGGCAGTGAGGCTAGGGGAGGGGTGCCCGCCATTGCCGAGCTAGTTGTTTGATTAGGTAAAAAAAGCGGCCAGGAAGCTCAAACTGGGTGGAGCCCACCACACCTCAAGGAGGCCTGCCTGCCTCTGTAGGCTCCACCTCTGGGGGCAGGGCACAGACAAACAAAAAGACAGCAGTAACCTCTGCAAACTTAAATGTCCCTCTCTGACAGCTTTGAAGAGAGTAGTGGTTCTCCCAGCACACAGCTTGAGATCTGAGAATGGGCAGACTGCCTCCTCAAGTGGGTCCCTGACTCCTGAGTAGCCTAACTGAGAGGCACCCCCCAGTAGGGGCAGACTGACACCTCACACAGCCAGGTACTCCTCTGAGACAAAACTTCCAGAGGAATGATCAGACAGCAGCATCTGCAGTTCACCAATATCCGCTGTTCTGCAGCCACCACTGCTGATACCCAGGCAAACAGGGTCTGGAGTGGACCTCTAGCAAACTCCAACAGACCTGCAGCTGAGGGTCCTGTCTGTTAGAAGGAAAGCTAACAAACAGAAAGGACATCCACACCAAAAACCCATCTGTACGTCACCATCATCAAAGACCAAAGGTAAATAAAACCACAAAGATGGGAAAAAAACAGAGCAGAAAAACTGGAAACTCTAAAAATCAGAGTGCCTCTCCTCCTCCAAAGGAACGCAGCTCCTCACCAGCAACGGAACAAAGCTGGACGGAGAATGACTTTGACGAGTTGAGAGAAGAAGGCTTCAGATAATCAAACTACTCCGAGCTACAGAAGGAAATTTGAACCAATGGCAAAGAAGTTAAAAGCTTTGAAAAAAAATTAGACGAATGGATAACTATAATAACCAAGGCAGAGAAGTCCTTAAAGGACCTGATGGAGCTGAAAACCAAGGCACGAGAGCTATGTGACAAACGCACAAGCCTCAGTAGCCAATGCGATCAACTGGAAGAAAGGGTATCAGTGATGGAAGACAAAATGAATGAAATGAAGCAAGAAGAGAAGTTTAGAGAAAAAAGAATAAAAAGAAATGAACAAAGCCTCCAAGAAATATGGGACTATGTGAAAAGACAAATCTACGTCTGATTGATGTACCTGAAGGTGACGGGGAGAATGGAACCAAGCTGGAAAACACTCTGCAGGATATTATCCAGGAGAACTTCTCCAATCTAGCAAGGAAGGCCAACATTCAAATTCAGGAAATACAGAGAATGCCACAAAGATACTCCTCGAGAAGAGCAACTCCAAGACACATAATTGTCAGATTCACCAAAGTTGAAGTGACGGAAAAAATGTCAAGGGCAGCCAGAGAGAAAGGTCGGGTTACCCTCAAAGGGAAGCCCATCAGACTAACAGCTGATCTCTCTGCAGAAACTCTACAAGCCAGAAAAGAGTGGGGACCAATATTCAACATTCTTAAAGAAAACAATTTTCAACCCAGAATCTCATATCCAGCCAAACTAAGCTTCATAAGTGAAGGAGAAATAAAATACTTTACAGACAAGCAAATGCTGAGAGATTTTGTCACCACCGGGCCTGCCCTAAAAGAGCTCCTGAAGGAAGCACTAAACATGGAAAGGAACAACCGGTACCAGCCACTGCAAAAACATGCCAAAATGTAAAGACCATCAAGGCTAGGAAGAAACTGCATGAACTAATGAGCAAAATAACCAGCTAACATCATAATGACAGGATCAAATTCACACATAACAATATTAACTTTAAATGTAAATGGGCTAAATGCTCCAATTAAAAGACACAGACTGGCAAATTGCATAAAGAGTCAAGACCCATCAGTGTGCTATATTCAGGAAACCCATCTCACATGCAGAGACACACATAGGCTCAAAATACAGGGATGGAAGAAGATCTACTAAGCAAATGGAAAACCAAAAAAGGCAGAGGTTGCAATCCTAGTCTCTGATAAAACAGACTTTAAACCAACAAAGATCAAAGGAGACAAAGAAGGCCATTACATAATGGTAAAGGGATCAATTCAACAAGAAGAGCTGACTATCCTAAATATATATGCACCCAATACAGGAGCACCCAGATTCATAAAGCAAGTCCTTAGAGACCTACAGAGAGACTTAGACTCCCACACAATAATAATGGGAGACTTTAACACCCCACTGTCAACATTAGACAGATCAACAAGACAGAAAGTTAACAAGGACACCCAGGAATTGAACTCAGCTCTGCACCAAGCGGACCTAATAGACATCTACAGAACTCTCCACCCCAAATCAACAGAATATACATTCTTTTCAGCACCACACCACACCTACTCCAAAACTGACCACATAATTGGAAGTAAAGCACTCCACAGCAAATGTAAAAGAACAGAAATTATAACCAACTGCCTCTCAGACCACAGTGCAATCAAACTAGAACTCAAGATTAAGAAGCTCACTCAAAACCGCTCAACTACATGGAAACTGAACAACCTGCTCCTGAATGACTACTGGGTACATAACGAAATGAAGGCAGAAATAAAGATGTTCTTTGAAACCAACGAGAACAAAGACACAACATACCAGAATCTCTGGGACACATTCAAAGCAGTGTGTAGAGGGAAATTTATAGCACTAAATACCCACAAGAGAAAGCAGGAAATATCTAAAATTGACACCCTAACATCACAATTAAAAGAGCTAGAAAAGCAAGAGCAAACACATTCAAAAGCTAGCAGAAGGCAAGAAATAACTAAGATCAGAGCAGAACTGAAGGCAATAGAGACACAAAAACCCTTCAAAAAATTAATGAATCCAGGAGCTGGTTTTTTGAAAAGATCAACAAAATTGATAGACTGCTAGCAAGACTAATAAAGAAGAAAAGAGAGAAGAATCAAATAGACACACTAAAAAATGATAAAGGGGATATCACCACCAATCCCATAGAAATACAAACTACCACCAGAGAATACTATAAACACCTCTATGCAAATAAACTAGAAAATCTAGAAAAAATTGATAAATTCCTCAACACATACATCCTCCCAAGACTAAACCAGGAAGAAGTTGAATCTCTGAATAGACCAATAACAGGCTCTGAAATTGAGGCCATAATCAATAGCTTACCAACCAAAAAAAGTCCAGGACCAGATGGATTCACAGCCGAATTCTACCAGAGGTACAAAGAGGAACTGGTACCATTCCTTCTGAAACTATTCCAATCAATAGAAAAAGAGGTAATCCTCCCTAACTCATTTTATGAGGCCAGCATCATCCTGATACCAAAGCTAGGCAGAGACACAACCAAGAAAGAGAATTTTAGACCAATATCCTTGATGAACATCGATGCAAAAATCCTCAATAAAATACTGGCAAACCGAATCCAGCAGCACATCAAAAAGCTTATCCACCATGATCAAGTGGGCTTCATCCCTGGGATCCAAGGCTGGTTCAACATACGCAAATCAATAAATGTAATCCAGCATATAAACAGAACCGAAGACAAAAACCACATGATTATCTCAATAGATATAGAAAAGGCCTTTGAAAAATTCAACAACCCTTCATGCTAAAAACTCTCAATAAATTAGGTATTGATGGGACGTATCTCAAAATAATAAGAGCTATCTATGACAAACCCACAGCCAATATCATACTGAATGGGCAAAAACTGGAAGCATTCCCTTTGAAAACGGGCACAAGACAGGGATGCCCTCTCTCACCACTCCTATTCAACATAGTGTTGGAAGTTCTGGCCAGGGCAATCAGGCAGGAGAAGGAAATAAAGGGTATTCAATTAGGAAAAGAGGAAGTCAAATTGTCCCTGTTTGCAGATGACATGATTGTATATCTAGAAAACCCCATTGTCTCAGCCCAAAATCTTCTCAAGCTGATAAGCAACTTCAGCAAGGTCTCAGGATACAAAATCAAAGTACAAAAATCACAAGCATTCTTATACACCAACAACAGACAAACAGCCAAATCATAAGTGAACTCCCATTCACAATTGCTTCAAAGAGAATAAAATACCTAGAAATCCAACTTACAAGGGATGTGAAGGACCTCTTCAAGGAGAACTACAAACCACTGCTCAATGAAATAAAAGAGGATACAAACAAATGGAAGAACATTCCATGCTCATGGGTAGGAAGAATCAATATCATGAAAATGGCCATACTGCCCAAGGTAATTTATAGATTCAATGCCATCCCCATCAAGCTACCAATGACTTTCTTCACAGAATTGGAAAAAACTACTTTAAAGTTCATATGGAACTTGGCATCGCCAAGTCAATCCTAAGCCAAAAGAACAAAGCTGGAGACATCACACTACCTGACTTCAAACTATACTACAAGGCTACAGTAACCAAAACAGCATGGTACTGACACCAAAACAGAGATATAGAAAAATGGAACAGAATAGAGCCCTCAGAAATAATGCCACGTATCTACAACCATCTGATCTTTGACAAACCTGAGAAAAACAAGCAATGGGGAAAGGATTCCCTATTTAATAAATGGTGCTGGGAAAACTGGCTAGCCATCTGTAGAAAGCTGAAACTGGATCCCTTCCTTACACCTTATACAAAAATTAATTCAAGATGGATTAAAGACTTAAACGTTAGACCTAAAACCATAAAAACCCTAGAAGAAAACCTAGGCAATACCATTCAGGACATAGGCATGGGCAAGGACTTCATGTCTAAAACACCAAAAGCAATGGCAACAAAAGCCAAAATTGACAAATGGGATCTAATTAAACTAAAGAGCTTCTGCACAGCAAAAGAAACTACCATCAGAGTGAACAGGCAACCTACAGAATGGAAGAAAATTTTTGCAACCTACTCATCTGACAAAGGGCTAATATCCAGAATCTACAATGAACTCAAACAAATTTACAAGAAAAAAACAAACAACCCCGTCAAAAAGTGGGCAAAGGATATGAACAGACACTTCTCAAAATAAGACATTTATGCAGCAAAAAAACACATAAAAAATGCTCCTCATCACTGGTCATCAGAGAAATGCAAATAAAAACCACAATGAGATACCATCTCACACCAGTTAGAATGGCGATCATTAAAAAGTCAGGAAACAACAGGTGCTGGAGAGGATGTGGAGAAATAGGAACACTTTTACACTGTTGGTGGGACTGTAAACTAGTTCAACCATTGTGGAAGTCAGTGTGGCGATTCCTCAGGGATCTAGAACTAGAAACATTTGACCCAGCCATCCCATTACTGGGTATATACCGGAAGGATTATAAATCATGCTGCTATAATGACACACACACACATATGTTTATTGCGGCACTATTCACAATAGCAAAGACTTGGAACTAACCTAAATGTCCAACAAGGATAGACTGGATTAAGAAAATGTGGCACATATACACCATGGAATACTGTGCAGCCATAAAAAATTATGAGTTCATGTCTTTTGTAGGGACATGGATGAAACTGGAAACCATCATTCTCAGCAAACTATCGCAAGGACAAAAAACCAAACACCGCATGTTCTCACTCATAGGTGGGAATTGAACAATGAGAACACACGGACACAGGAAGGGGAACATCACACACCGGGGACTGTTGTGGGGTGGGGGCAGGGGGGAGGGATAGCATTAGGAGATATACCTAATGCTAAATGACGAGTTAACGGGTGCAGCACACCAGCATGTCACATGTATACATATGTAACAAACCTGCACGTTGTGCACATGTACCCTAAAACTTAAAGTATAATAATAATAAAACTAAAAAAAAAAATTATGTTTTTGACCACGTAATATATACAGACTCTGTGATTGAAATGTATGATTTTTTATTTAATCTTTAAAACAATCCTGTGAAGCTGGTATTTATTTTTATGCTTATTTTTATTTTTTGTTTGTTTATTTTTTATTTCATTTTTTAGATGTAAAAACCAAGATCCCAAAAGTAAGCTATTTGCCTAAGGTTACACAACAAGTAAGTGGCAGAGCAAAAATTCAAACTTCAAAGACTCTGTGTTTTCTATTTAACTATTCTGTTTCCCAAAGAGTCACTGAAACTCATGAAGATTAAGTAATTTAGCTAAGATTGCACAGGAAATAACAGAACTAGATTTTAAAATAAGTTCTGGCCCTAAAGCCACTGTTTTATCCAGTACAGGTGATGATTGACAGCAACAGGTGTATTGCCGGCAGGTGTATCCCTGGGGCCCCCACAATTGGAAGAATATGAGCTCTCTGAGTGAGGATGCCAAGATACTCATGGCCTTTGAGGCTCTCTGGATGTCCCATGAACATGACGGTGCTCTTTGAATGGTAGATAGTTCTCAATTTAAAAAAAAAGAAAAGAAAAGAAATGCCCTGCCATTAGATGACTTGACCTAGAAGTTACTCCCTAAAAATTATCCACAGGTCATCCCATCTACCTGGGGCATGGTGTTATGGATGTTCCTTGAACACGTAGAGCTGTCTGAGTGTTTGCCCAAAGAGAACATTGGCATCACTCACCTTTGAAATACAAAAGAGAAGCCGTTTGCTTTACTTAAATCCTGAATCTTTGATCATCCACATCAGGTGTCTTTGATGTTGGCTGCAATCTGTAATTGCTACAAATTAACACAAAGGTAGGAAACAGGTTAAAGAGGCACGGAGAAATGAAATAAAAGTCTTACATCTGAACACAGGCACCTTTTTTTCTACCCCCTTTCTCCTCCAAAATGAGGCTTGTTCACTGTCTCTTCCTTCTGCTAGAAGTTTCTTGAACCTATGACTTATCTGCCACATACATTTAATCATTTTAGGGTCCATTTAGACTCTTAAAAGGAGTCTCGAGTATAGTAGGCCTTCAATAAGTATTTGTTGAATAGATGAGTTAGAGACCTAATTATTAAGTTGATAACCATTGGTTAAATTTCAGGTGCCAAGTCAGTTACAGACTTCCCATCCTGACTGCTCACCATGTGGACCAGGGTAACTTCAGCCGGAGAGCAGCATAGGGTGTCCTGATGTCTGGCATGCTGCCTGGTGGGCAATCCTCCATCCATTACCCTGTTGGTTCTTCCATTTGGCCATCGGTCCCCAGTCTAGGGAGTGCCAGAGGCCAAGGCAACCAGGAGCAGCTGGGGCACCTCCCAGGCCAGCCTGTCCCCTTCCTGCCCACACCAACCAGGCAGCCTCTTCCTCCTGCCCACTGCTTGCACCAGCTTCTCTACCCAGAGAGATGACTGCGTGGGCCCTTGGATTCCACAAGCAACTCAACTCAGGACATTTGATAACCTTAGCCACAGAAGTGAAAAGAGAAAGCAAGGAGAGAGGTGGCGAAGGAGAAAGAGAAAGAGGAAATGAAAAACAGACATCAGTTTATAAAGAAAAAGAGTTTCTGAAGAAGAAAAATCAAGGACAAAGTGAGAAACTCTTCCTTCTTACAATGGATACAATGGATTTTTCCCAAACATGTTAAATTCTTCTCCAGAAACTTGACTGAACTGTGACAAAGAGGTTTTCATGAACTTTGGAGGCAGACAGACCTGGTTTGGACTCCTGGTTCCAGCCTCTGCTTGCCCTGTGGCCTTCACAGCCTCTCTGAAGCCATTTCTTCCCGCCTGTAAAAGAGGAAAATAACCTGTAGAGCAGCTGTGAGAATTCAGTGAGAGATTGGGGCTGAAGAGTCACTCAATGAAATATTTTTTCCTCTCCTTGCTCTCCCACTAGCCCTTTCCCCTTCCTTTGGTTGGACTTGGTTGTTTCCATTGTGGATTTGTCTGTTTCCGCTACCTCTCGGAAGCACCTGACCCTGGACTGCAAGCTCAGGAAAGAAATCTACTGATGAGGCCCCCGGTGATTATAAGTGATCACAGCCTGAGCGAGCAGTCAGCTGAAGATGTTCCGGGCATACATCTGCCTTCAGTGCTGCAGCTCATCCCAGGAGTCTCGTGAGAGATAAATCAGAGGGAGGGCAGAGGGGTGGGGGGCCAGGGTCGGGCAAGCAACAGAGGTATGTGCAGCTTCAGAATACACAGCTCGTAAAGGAGGAAGACGGTGGGAATCCCTGCATCTTGCATGTGCTCATGACAAACGTCAAGGAGGAGGAAAGGGGAAGAATGAGATGGCACAGGCACACACATGTGTGTGAATGCAAGCCTCCAGGACACACTGGCCGAGGGTGTGGGCCCAAGGGATTTTCCCTGCAGTCCAAAGACTGGGCTCCATCCCACTTCCACTATCCTGAGGCTCTTTTCCCTCAGTGGACTTGGTCTCCTCATCTGTAAAGGAGGAAGTCAGAAAAAGGGGCTCTCGTGCCTCTTTGCGCTCTGAGAGTCTGCCACATAGAGACCCCTTCTGTCCAGGACCCCAGATCATGGTGCCGAGGTGACCTTGATAATGTGCTGGGTCTGACCCAGGAAAGCTGGAAGGGTAGGGGGCCAGAGTGCCCATAACACAAAGCATCAGTGAGCGATGGGCAAGACTGACCCAGTGCTGACAGCAGCAGATGTGAGGCTGCTGAAAACTTCGGTGCTTACACATCTGGTGCCAAATATCCTGAACTCCTTGCTTCCTTGTGCCAGAACCCATATTTTACTGAGAAGCCGAAGCATTCAAGGAAGTCAACCTCAGGCCTTCTGTGCCCATGCCTCAGAGATGGGAAAAGGCCCTGGATTAGACTCCAGAGCCCAGCAGGGAAAGCCAGCATCCTAGCAAGAGCAGAACAATAAAGTTAATCATAGCCACCTCCAGTCATTTGTGGGGAGCACAGGAGAGAGGCTTGCATTTCATTCTCCCCACAGCCCCGTGAGGGAGGTGCTATTGAGAGGTGAAGCCAGCTGGACTTCTGGGTCAGGTGCGGACTTGGAGAACTTTTCTGTCTTACAATCCTCTTACAAGAGGATTGTAAAATGCACCAATCAGCACTCTGTAGCTAGGATTATAAAACGCACCAGTCAGTGCTCTGTGGCTTGCTAGAGGTTTGTAAAATGTGCCAATCAGCACTCTGTAAAAACACACCAATCAGCTCTCTGTGGCTAGCTAGAGGTTTGTAAAATGGGCCAATCAGCACACTGTAAAATGGACCAATCAGTGCTCTGTAAAATGGACCAATCAGCACTCTGTAAAATGGACAGATCAGCAGGACATGGGCGGGGATAAATAAGGGAATAAAAGGTGCCCCCCCCACCCCCACCCAGACTCCTGCCGCCAGCCAGCCCCTGTGGAAGCTTCGTTCTTTTGTTCTCCACAATAAATTTTGCTGCTGCTCACTGTTTGGGTCCGCACCACCTCTAAGAGCTGTAACACTCCCCACAAAAGTCTGCAGCTTCATTCCTGAAGTCAGCAAGATCACGAACCCGCTGGAAGGAACCAACTCCGGACACACTATTACTATCCTTACTGTGCAGATGAAGAAACTGAGGCCCCTGCAGATGAAGAACCTCCGAGGCCCCAGATGAGGGCTGTGTGTGTGTTGTGGGGGCAGCAGTGATAGGCGTGGATTCCAGGAGAGGAAGTTAAGTGTCACCTTTTGCTTCTCCTGGTGCGAAGTGGGCTTCTGCCTCTCACCAAGATGCTCCAAGTGCATGAATCCTCCCAGGTAAAAAGAATGTCTGGATGCAGGGTTGCCAAACCAGGGCAAGACCCACATCAGGGCCCAGCCATTTGTTTGTCCCAGTTTGTCATGGCCACAGAGCTCACAAAGGGCTTGCTCAGATGGTCACGTCTTCAAGGTAGTCAGGGCAGGTGGCCACTACTTGGAGGTAGTCAGATAGGATTTCTGGCTCTGGATGGGGAAACTGAGGCTCAGGGGGTGGGGTGGCTTGCCCACAGTCACCTGGCTGGCAGGCTGGCTGGCGTGAAGCAGGGATGAGGACCCCTGGGTCCCAGCGCCAAGAGCAGCACCGTGGCCTCTGTTCTGCACCATGCCTCTCTTACAGCAGGTGCTGCCACACCACCTTTAATCCTGCGTCCCCCAGAACTCCCTGACACCGCCACAGAATGCCCCCTGGGCAACCTAACAACTCCCAGTCTTGGCAGACAGACAAACCAAAATGCAGCAAAGGTCAGAAAAAACTTTCTGCTCCCCTGTCTCTCTCTTCTCACAAGCTCAGCCTCCTTCCCTGACACCCTCTTTTTCACCGTCCCTAAATGTTGGGAAATGACATTGAGGTCATAAAGGGAAGTCACCTGCCACGTGACTTCACCCACTGAGATCTGTGGCTCATGCAGGCATTCTGTGCCAGACCGCCCAGAGATCAAATGTCCACTCCTCAGGAGCTGGGTGACCTTGGTGTGCCATTTAAGCCTCAGCCTCCGTTATGTTGAATGTGAAGCAGTAGAGTAAGTGTCCTCCTCACAGTGCTGTGGTGAGACTTCCGTGAGGTGAGGATGCCTCTTTAAGTATCACCTTGATATGGATGATAATTATTGAAGCCAGCTCATCAGATAAATCTCACTTGGTTTACAAACACGAACACCTTTGCTTTTTTTAAAATTCTCAACACTGATCTCCTCTCTGCCCATGATATAATATATATAGATACAATTATTTTCTTTGGTTACTTTTAGATATTAACAGTTTTTGTGTGTAGTAAAAATCTGGAAAAGTCAGGTAGAAAATGTTCAGTCTAGGTCAGGATCAGTGGCTCATGCCTGCAATCCCAGCACTTAGGGAGGCCGAGGCAGGTGGACCACCTGAGGTCAGAAGTTCAAGACCAGCCTGGCCAACATGGTGAAACTCCATCTCTACTAAAAATACCAAAAATTAGCCAAGCATGGTGGCGGGCTCCTGTAATCCCAGCTGCTCAGGAGGCTGAAGCAGGAGAATCTCTTGAACCTGGGAGGCGGAGACTGCAATGAGCGAAGATTGTGCCATTGCACTCCAGCCTGGGCAACAAGAGCAAAACTCCATCTTAAAATAAATAAATAAATAAATAAATAAATAAATAAATAAATAAATAAATAAATAAATAAAGTTCAGTCTCTTATTTGAGCTGAAGCTCCTCCCTTCCCTATTCCTGGAAACTGCACTGGAGAAGGAAGATGTGGTGGCTTTCCTCATTCTCCTTGTATCACCTTCTGCCCTGTTCACTCCTGCTGCACCTGGTTTGTCTAGGAATGGGACAGAGGATGGGAGAGAAGGAAAATAAGGGTCAAAGAAGTTATCAGCCGGGCGCAGTGGCTCACGCCTGTAATCCCAGCACTCTGGGAGGCCCAGGTGGGTGGATCACACAGTCACGAGACCGACACCATCCTGGTGATGGTGAAACCCCTTCTCTACTGAAAATACAAAAATTACCCGGGCATGGTGACACGTACCTGTAGTCCCAGCTACTCAGGAGGCTGAGGCAGGAGAATCGCTTGAACACGGGAGGCGGAGGTTGCAGTGAGCCGAGATCACACCACTACACTCCAGCCTGGGCAATAGAGAAAGACTCCATCTCAAAAAAAAAAAAAGTTATCATGAGTGGTATGGTTGCAGTCTGCCACTGGTGCCCTCTGTAGGGGTTTTGGACGCCCTGCCCTCTGGCTTTGGGGACCTCTCCGCATGATGTCCTTGTGCAGGGAAGTACTTTCAGGCAACTGCCTCACCCCTCCTTCCAGAGCTCACATCCAGTGGCACAATGCATGCAACTTCATTTTGTTGGGGTCCTTCTTGCATGGGCCCCTTTCCAAATGGCTTCAATCCCACCACCCTCTTAAGGCACGGAAAAATTCAACTGGAATCTGGAAGGTCCCCTCCCCCCGCCCTCCCTATTCTTACCAGACAGGCAGCTCTATTTACTTCCAGCCTTTAGATGCTTTTAGGCAAGGGTCGGTCCCTGCCCCTATGCCACGCAAATTCTGGAGGACACAGTGATCTCTCAGCACAGCTCTGTCACCTCATTCTATCCCGTGTCCTGGAGTCCACAGGTTCCTTTCCCTCAGCTGGAAGAGAGTGGTGAGCACCCCCTCCCCTCTCCTGATTAACATCCTGTTGCATTACTAATAGGCACATTGTCTAAGAAGCCATTTTATTAGCCCATCTTTCAACGGAGTCGGGCTGAGCTTACAGTCTCACGAACTCAGGAAGAACATTAGGAAGCTGCAAGCCTCTCAGAAACGTGTCCTCATAACTGCTCTGACACGTCCAGGAGCGTCTCTCCAGCCAGGATCCGTGGAATGAGTACAGCAGGCTGGGGGAGATAGATGAAGCTGGTCTCCTCCTCCTGACAGGTTGTGCTCCGTGTCTACAAGCAGAGACGGTCCTGGGCTCTGGCATGTGAGGATAGAGAGCCCAATGTCAGCAGCAAGACATGCTGGAAACTCTGTGAGGCTTCATCTGCCACAGCACACCTGGTGGTCCTCACAGAGGGACGAGGCCTATGCTTTCCTCCTGTGAAGCAAAGGAGAGAATGGGGACTAAAATGGCAAAATGATGATGATGATGATGATGATTGCAGCCACAGTTTGCTATACTCTTACCTTACATCAGCAGGGGTTACGTGTACTGCCTTATTTAATCTTTGCAGCAACACCCTGAAGTGGTGTGGCAGACAGAATAATGGCCCCCAAAGATGTTCACATCCTAATCTCCAGAACCTGTGAATATGTTATATTACATGGGATGGGGGAATGGTGGATGCAGGGAGGCGGTGGTTAAGGCTGCAGAGGGAATTAAGTTTGCTAATTAGCTGACTTTAAAATAGAAAAATTATCCTGGATTATCTGGATGGGTCCAATGTAATCATAAGGATCACTAAAAAGGAAAGAGAGAGAAGAATATCAGCATGAAGCAATGTGAGAAAAACCAGACCAGCCATTGCTCACCTTGAAGATGGAGGAGGCCATAAGGCAGGACACAAGGAAAGATGGAGAAGCCAAGGAAACGGCTTCTCTTCTGGAGTCTTCATAAAGGAAATCAGCCCTGCCAACACCTCGATTTTAGCCTGGTGAGACCCGTTGAGGACTTCTGACCTCTAGAACTGTAAGATAATTTGTTTTGTTTTGTTAGCCACTACATTTGTGATAATTTGTTGCAACAGCAATAGGAAACTGATACAAATGGGCACTGTTTTATCCAGTTTCAGATGAGAAAGCTGAGGCTCAGAGAGATTAAGTAACTTCCCTAAGGTCACACAGCTAGGAAGGGCAGTGCAAGAATGGGACCTAAGGCTGTCTGACTCCAAATCCGGGGCTTTCAGCACTAGACTGTACTACACTTTGATGAGGGCTGCAGTGTGCCCCCGCTGCACACCTGTCATCTCACTGAGTCCTCACAGCAAGCCCACAAAATCAATATCATGAACCGCTTTGCAGATGTCGAAGCTGGAGCCTCAGAGAAGTGAAGAGACTCAGTGACCTCTCACAGCCAGAACATGGGAAGAAGGGAAGCCCCTGTGATTTGGTTTGAATTTGTGTCGCCTCCCAAATCTCATGTTGAATTGTAATCCCAGTATTGAGGGAGGGGCCTGGTGGGAGATGATTGGATCAAGGGGGCTGACTTCACACTTGCTGTCCTCGTGATAGTGAGTTCTCATGAGATCCGGTTGTTTAAAAGTGTGTGGTACCTTCCGCCTCTCACTTCCTCCTGCTCCAGCCATGTAAAATGTGCCTCCTTCCTCTTTGCCTTTTGAAACGATTGTAAGTTTCCTGAGGCCTCCCTAACCACACGTCCTGTACAACCTACAGAACCGTGAGCCAATTAAACCCCTTTTCTTTATAAATTACGCAGTCTTAGGTAGTTCCTTATAGCAATGCAAGAACAAACTAATCCACCCTGCCTGTTGGGTTTGGGGGTACCCGTATCAGCCCCCCTCTGGCATTCTCCTCAAGCCAAGCCACTTGTTTCATCTGGGCAACATATACTAAATGGCCTACTATGTGCTGGCACCATGAGGGGTCCGAGACCACAGGCCCCGGGTTCTCCACAATCTAGGCTTTCCTACATTGCAAAGGAAATGTCTGCAGCCTTTTTCCATTCTCAGCCTCTGCATCTTGGCCCTAGTATCTGAATCACGGTATCCCACAACAGGTCATGGAGCAGGGCCTCTTATCCTTCTAGTTCAGTTTACATTAGCCCAAAATTCTGGCCCAGAAGGTAAGCTTCTCAGCTGCTGCCATGAGCCTGGTGGTCTCCGGACAGTGGGATCTGATTTTGTTGCATCTGTGTGTTTTTAGGTTCCCTCCCCACACCCTCATATGCAACTCCTTAAGACTTTCCAAGGAAAAAGGATCTGTGCTATTAGCCTCCATGCCCTTCACTGATGGAAAATCTGTCCCTGCGCTCTACCCCAAGGATAAGAGATGCCGGCAGCAGAGGCAGCAGTGCCAGAGAATAATGTCCCTGTAGTGGCTGGACATGAGATCACTACGACAGATGTAAGGTGGTCCTGGGTGGTTTTGGCTTTCCCAGTTGATGCACCCTGTGCAGGCTGTTTGTATTTGTACTCCTGAAAAGTGATAAGGAGGGTCATTCGTTGGCGGGAAGCCCACCTGGCAGATGCCTAACGGGTGGACACTCCTCCTGTTCATCATGGATCTTCAGACCCTCAAAGCTCCAGTGTCTGTGATCAACTGGAAAGAGGCTGTTACAATGACCAGGCCCTCTTGGTCTTCATATCTGGAAAATCTGACCCGGGAAAAGGATTGTTGACTTCCACTCAAAGATGTGGAATCTCCGGACCAAGGAGAGGTCAGAGAGAGGAACCTTACTTGTTCATGAAAAGAAATCCATTGTCATTTATCTGTCTACTGCTTGACGTGCCCCAAAGACCTAGTTTTTCCAGATAAGATAATGTGGTGGCCAGGACTCAGCATTCCATGCCTCTCCTTTTACCTACTTAATCTTAACATTTTGGTTCTAGATTTGGGTCCTAATTCTGGCAAAGAAAAGTAGGGAAGGGGTGGAGGTGCCCCATCTTTTTTTTTTTTTTTTTTTTTTTTGAGATGGAGGCTTGCTCTGTTGCCAGGCTGGAGTGCAGTGGCGCAATCTCGGCTCACTACAACCTCCACCTCCCAGGTTCGAGTGATTCTCCTGCCTCAGCCTCCCAAGTAGCTGGGATTACAGGCACCTGCCTGTAATTAGACACCGAGCTAATTTTTGTATTTTTAGTAGAGACGGGGTTTCACCATGTTGGCCTGGATGGTCTCAATCTCTTGACCTCGTGATCTCCCCGCCTCAGCCTCCCAAAGTGCTGGGATTACAGGCGGGAGCCACTGCGCCTGGCTGGTGCCCATCTTATATAACAGGAAAACTTAAAGAAATGCTGAAATAGGAGACACTAGAAATGGACCAACATTAGGAACAGCCTGGAGGGAGAATGAGAGGAGAGGGCAAGGTTGACAATCTCTTGCAGATGATGGACAGGTCAAAAAAGTGAAGATGGGAAAAGATTTTGACATCCACCCATCCATCCATCCACAGAAGTTTAACAAGATCCTCCACGGTCAATTCAAACAAACTTATGAAGGGTAAGGCGCCCTCCTTGGTGAAATACAAGTGCTCCTGCCATTTGAAGAGAAGAGCCTAATTACAAGCTTATTCTGGGGTGCACAGGAGAAAGTGCTATGATTTGCCTTCATTTTTACCTGAAAGCTTAAATAACATCAGTCTAATCCATAGTTTGGTAAACAGGTAAAATAGGCGCAAGTCTGAAAAGAATAAGAGTCCACCACTGAGGCAGTTCTCATGGTCTGGCCAGGGTCAGGGGATGATCTTCCTTCCAGCAAGGGGTTTGCTGTGCAGGCTGCTGGAGGTGAAGGCAAGAAGGAAATGGTTAGAGCTCATAGAAGAAGGCAGCATCTAAGGATTGAGGGATCCAAAAGAAGAAAGAAAAGAATTTGCTGAATGAGCAAAGGTCTTTGGAAGAAAAACAATAATAAAAGAGGACAAGCAAGAGAAAGGAAGAGTGATAAGGAATTTATTCAGTGGGGTGAAGCATCCACCCAAGAACCAAGTCACTAAAAAAGCCAGAGAAGCTTCCCAAATGGAGAGAACGCTGATGTAGGGAGAGCAGACCACATGCTTCAGCCTAAAGGAGTAGGTACTTGTCAAGGCCGTGGTTGCAGTAGCCCCTTTGGGAGTGGGTAAGCAGCCCAGCTCCTAAGGCAGTGGGATAAGGGAAATTACCTTTTTTTTTATTTTTTAGAGACAGGGTCTTTCTGTGTCTCTCAGGCTGGAGTGCAGTGGCATGAACATGGCTCACTGTAGCCTCAACCTCCTGGACTAAAGCAATCCTCCTGCCTCAGCCTCCTGAGTGACTGGGATTACAGGTGCTCATCACCATGCCCGGCCAATTTCTTTTTTAGTTTTTGTAGAGATGTGGGCCTCGCTATGTTGCCCAGGCTAGTCTCGAACTTCTGGCCTCAAGTGATCCTCCTTCCTTGGCTTCCCAGAGTGTTGGGATTACAGGCATGAGCCACTGCCCCAGGCTGAAACTACCATTTTACCAAATGGCACCAGAGAGGCTCTTAGGGAAGGAACCATCTTTATTTGTAAAAATACCATCAGAGTTTCTTAGGTGGTACAATGTGGGATTGTGATGGACTGGATTGGAAGGAGACAACAAAGAGAGAGGTAAGCTCCTTAGCTAATAAATGCATGGAAATGGAAATGTAGAGAAGAGGAAAAGGCAGGAAGGAGAGAGGAAGCCTAGAAACATCACCGGGGGCTTCAGTTGTTAGAAATGACTGAGGGACAGGAAAGGGGAATATTACATTTTAAATTATCGGTTTGCAGTTCTGTGACATTCCTCCCCTCAATGTGCCCTCAAATCACAAGGAAAAATCTATGATGTACCTCATGTGAGCTGCATCTGGGAGGCATGAAAGTGCAAAATGGTGGGTCAAGAAGAGCCTATGTTCCTTATCTGGGTTGTAACCAAGGTGCTATTAAAGGCCCAGGGTACTAAATAGATAAGAATTATCAGGTCCCACAAAAATCAAGGTGCTGAGCTAGACTGGCCTCAGCCTTACCCCAGGACAAGCCAGGATTTGTGACTATTTCACCCAGGCCTTAAGACAGTGCATCTCAAACTCTCATGACCCAGGAAATTATCTGGAATTCTTTTGAAAACCCAAATAGGAACCCACTCCCTGGGCATCTGATTCAGAAGGTCTAGGTGGAGCCCATGAACTCTCATTTCTAACAAGTTCCCAGAGGATGCAGTTGCTGCTGGTCTGGGGACTACTCTGTGAATGGCCATGCTTAAGAGACAGAATGACCCAGACTCTCCCAGTAAGCTCAGGATCCTTCTTTCCTGTATCTACCTCTCTTGCCACGTAGCCCACTGCCCTGTGAAGGTTCAGTACCTAGACTTTCTCATCGTGATTGATGGCTGCCCTACCCAGGAAAGGAAGGAGGGCCTGATGAGGGATGGTCATTGGGTCCACCCCTCAGTTCCATGGAAAGCAGCCACACTAGATCTTGAACAGATAAAAATGAGAAGTCACCAGCACTTTCCCCACCACTCAGCATCCTATTTGCCAATTGATTTCTCCATCCTTTTGACCTAAGCTGTGAGCTCCATGAGGGCAAGGTCTGGCACATAATAGGCGCTTAATAAATGCTTGGCAGGTGGGGTGGGGTGAGTGAATTACCCCCTCAAACTCCTGAACAGGTCAAACATTCCACCTGGGCCAAGGTGGGCAGGAAGATTGGGAGCTGGGGATGGAAGCAACAGGGCGGCCCCACGATCAAGGTCGTCCGCCCTTTAGACTTCAGATCCCCTGGTCTCCGGCTGCCTCCCTCCCACTGCAGAGCCTCCAGAGTCTCTGGGCTCCTCTCTCCAACTCTAGGCCTAAGAATGTGATTGTGTTGGCAAAGGTGGAAGGTGCCATCTCGTGGGAGAGAAAGAGGAGGAGTAAGATGGGGCCCTGACCCGCACAGGGAGATGAAAGGAAAGAAACAGCATCTCCCCAAGGAGACGGAGGCTGTCTTGGAGCAGATGAAGCAGAGTTTGTGAGGGAGGCTGCCCCCTAGCCCTTCACCATTCTCCCATTCTGCCTCCTCCCCCACTATCCACCTCCTACTCAGAACCAGTGACTAATTGCATCGCATTTCTCTTTGACTTGCGTCACCCAGCAGAGAGCGTGTGGTTGTTTTTACAGCTTATTCTTTCAGGGATTCTAAGTGACATTTTTTAAGTGCTCTTCCCCTGCCTTGGAGCAGCACACCCTTCTCTCCTCTCTCCCCCTCACTCTCTTTTCTCTCCCCCTCACTCATTTCCCTCTTCCAGCGGCTGCTGGCAAAAAGAACAGCTCAGGGGGCAGAGGGCAGGCCTCCCAAAAGCAGCTGAGAGATTTTCCTGCTCCCTGGCCCTTGGGAGACCTGATGGGGGAGAACCCCACAGGAGATACCCGTTCACCCTGCAAGAGAGGGCCCACGCTGAAAGCCATACTGGAAAGCTGTTCTTTCTTCCTTCCTTCTTTCCCTCCTTCCTCTAACCTTTCTTCATTTCTTCTTTCCCCCCTTCCTCCCTTTCTACAATCCTTCTTCCCCTCCTTCCTTCCTCCCTTCCTTCTGTTCCTCTTTATATCTCCTCCTTCTCTCCATCCCTCCTTCCTTCTCTTCCTCATTCCTTTTTATGATCATAGCACTGAGTACCTGCTAAGTGCCAGCCCCAAGTATGGAGTCACAGGCAAAACAAACCCAATTTCTCCTCTCCAAGTGATGAATGGAGTAGGAGGTGCATTGTTATCAATGAGTAAACTGTTACAATGCAATGAGTATATCCTATACTCTGGAAGGTTATAGGGGTCTCACATTGCATAAAGCAGGCACCAAACCTAACCTGGGGGAGAAAAGATGACCGGGGGGACTTCTTGGAGGTGATGTTATGAAATGAGGATGGAATTTTGTAGAAAAAGGGGTAGAGAATAGAGAGAAATAAAGCAACAAGTGCATCATCATGGTTCAAATACAGTAGGAAAAGCGTGAAGTGAGACCTCCGACAGCTCACTGTGAGCTGTGCCATCAGGCAAATCGCTCCCATCCATGGTTCTCAGGTTTCCTCCTTGGTAAAATGATGGATTTGGACCAGTTCACCTCTAAAATCCCCTCCAGCTTTAAAACTGATAGTCAGATCTTTCATCATCAAAGAAAGGTAAGCATCACACTATGAAGGACAGCTGTTAGTGAAAGGGTCAGTGGGCTTGAAATCTGAGGACGTACGTTTAAATCCAGGCCACTTGCTGCTTGTGTGACTTGGGCAAGTAGCCTCAATCTCCTTATCTGTAAAATGGGGATAAGAATGTTGCCTGTCATGCTGGATTATTCGTAGAATGGTATGAGATAATGCATTTGCAAGAGTATATTGCACACAGAGTGACTAAGTTCTGAGCTACTGTTGCCAGGGGTGTGTCTCTTGGCCCACGCAGATGTTAAGGACCTAGGCATCTCTTTTTGTTTGAATTTCAAGCAGGAATTCTTCCCATGAAAAGAGGAGAGATGCTTAAAACCCCAAATCCCAATAGTCAGAGAGCATGGGAAAAGAGCCACCAACAAAACATTGCTGATCCCAAAGGGCTTTTTTTTTTCCTGCCAGAAGAACCTCTGACAGGGACAGGAAATAGTAACATCACAAGACCCTCTCCAGATCAGAAAGACTTCCCACTCCAAATGCCTCAAAGAAAGAAGCAGACATCTCAGCGCAGAGCAGACTATGATGGACAAGAATGCAGAGGGGCATTTGGAATAAAATCCAAATCAGACCACAACTGTCTCAAATCCACTGAACTAAAAGACTTACCTGCCCCTTAGTAAGGAGGTGCAGAGACAGACGGACATCAGGACCACTGATGCTCTCTCTGCTTGTGGAGATCAGTAGTCAACAGTCACAAGGGTGAGCCCTTCCCAAGAAATACTTTGGGCAGCATCAAAAGTCTCCAATAGAAGAACTCTTGGTACCTGCACATACCTGGGCTAGTGGACCCTACCTGACAATTACAGTCAAGGTTCCAGTGCCAAGAGGGAGCAAAACTAGGCAAGCTATGCCCTTCCTGAACTCTGTCTGGGGATGCACTGCTGTTATGAATATCTGGCGTAGTGATTGGCACATGACTGCCCCCCAAATGTCACGTGTGCAATATCTTACTGTGAGCAATATCTATTATTTGCAAAGTGATTCTTCATCCATTATCTCCTTTAATCCTTACAATAACCCCACAAGGAAGTTGATATAACAGTGCTCATTGTGGTAGCCAGGAGTGCTATCCACCAAATATTTCCAGTTCTCCCCGCTTTCTGGGCACATGGTAAAACTGCACTTCCCTGCATCCTTAGAGGTGACCACATGACCTGCTCTGACCAGTGAAATGTGAGCAGGATCATGTGGTTACCTCCAGGTGGAAACTCTAAGAGCCCATGTACCTTCATTTTCCCCCACTCCCCCTGTCCCACTGCCACAGAAATTGGCAACATTTCTGATGGCAACTATTTTGTCAGTCTGAGTCCTTAGAATAAAGACAACATGTAGTGCAGCTTTTCGTGGCCCCAGGATGGACATGAAAAATAAATTAGAAATAAAACTTTGATGTGATAAGCAACTGAGATTTGGGGCTTGTTTGTTACCGCAGCATCAGCCCATGCTGATTGATACACTTACGTTACAAATAAGAAAACGAAGGCTGAGATAGGTTAAGTGAACTAACTTGTCTTAAGTAACACAGCAGGACAGTGGCAAACCAAGGATATAAAGGGTGTTCTTTCTGACTGTAAGTTCAATGTTGCAAACCCATCTTGAACTCAGCCCCTTTGGAACTAGAACTACAGAACGTCTTTTGTCTTCATCATTAATCCCTATTCGCAGCTTCAGGCTGAAAAAAAAAATCATACAAGATGAGTCAGTTCATGAGTATCCTCACTGGGTTGAAGCTTCTAAGAACCTTGAAACTTCTCAATTACAGTCAAAGCTCTTGCCATCAGCAAACAGGCAAGGCCCTATGCTATGCCTCCGTTTCTCTACTAAGGGCAGAATAGAGAAGATGGCTTGGGTCATCAGCCCTTTCTACTTTCCTATTTGAGGCTATGAGAGGAGAAAAGTACAGGCATACCAGAGCAATTAGGTGATGGCTTAAGCAGGGGAGGCCAAAAGTCCTGCCCACACAAAGAATTACACCCACATTAGCTGCAGGCCATGCTGCCAGGTGGTGGTAGAGAAGCCTCAGAGGTCTGGGAATTCTGGAAATAATTGTCAGTGGAGCTCAGTCATCGGTGAAAAGAAGTGAATGGGGCCTTAGAGGTACAGCCATGTCCAGCATAGAATTTCCTCTAAGAAAAAGAATAGATCCAGCTCCATCACCTGGAGGTAAAAATAGCTCAGAGTCACTGCTCCTGGCTCAGGCTGCTAGCCTAAGCCTTTTAATGGAGGTTTTGGGTGCACCACACAGCCAACCTCACCCTAGCCCAGGCTTGCATAATGGTCTCCTGGGCAGCCCGTCAGGCCTGTGGTCACTACACAATGTCCTTCATAGGTGCCTCTGAGTTGGCCCAGCCTTGTCCAGCAGTTTCAATGTGCTGGGCCTCAGGGCAGGTGTGGTTTCTTGTTTCATGGTGTCTCAGCTCCCCAAAAGGAGATCTAGGACGCCCAGGACAAGAAAGGGTTCCTGTAAATTGAGCATTTACCAGGTCACATGCGTTGCCCTGGACATTTTACTTAATCATTTAGACTTAAGTCATTTAGACTTCATAGTCCTTCTGTTGGACTGATCCTGTTCCATTCATTTTGCATCGAGGAAACTGAGACTCTGGAGAAAAGCACCATAGCACAGTGCCTGGCAAGTATTAAATACTCACATAAACAATAATTCTTATTATTACCAAGGTCATCAACAGTCATCATCATCATTGAGAAGATCCAGACTTTGAGATCATCTCAAAGATCCATCATTGAGAAGATCCAGACTTCAAATCATTCCATAGTGTCTCCAAACCCCTTCTCTTAGACATCAGAAAACTCTTTAGAGCAAAGTTTATCAAACTTTGATGCAAATCAGAATCACTTCAGAAGTTCTGAAAAAGAAAAAAACACAGATGCATGGGTTCTATCCTAGTCCAGATAAATAAGAGTAAACAGATTTGGGGCCCAAGTTTTGGTATGTTATTGTGGTTTCCCAATAATTCTAATATACCTCCTAAGTTTGAGAGCCCTTAACTTAAATAGAAGAAAGTTTCACTGTCACCCACATACCTACCCTCAGTCCCAATACCTCACTCACTCTCCTATGTACTGGGATGGAGTCTCTAAAGTCTGAGATCTCCTGCCTTAAATCCTGGATAACTAATCTTTGACCATTAGTTCCCTAAGAAAAGTGGTGTGGGTGGCGGCTCACACCTGTAATCCCAGCACTTTGGGAGGCCGAGGTGGGTGGATCACAAAGTCAGGAGATCGAGACCATCCTAGCTAACACAGTGAAACCCCAACTCTACTAAAAATACAAAAAATTAGCCGGGTGTGGTGGCGGGCACCTGTAGTCCCAGCTACTCGGGAGGCTGAGGCAGGAGAATGGCGTGAACCCTGGAGGCGGAGGTTGCAGTGAACTGAGATCAGGTCACTGCACTCCAGCCTGGGCGACACAGCAAGAGTCCATCTCAAAAAAAAAAAGAAAAAAGAAAAAAAAAGTGGTATGGGTGGTTGGTGTAAGCAGCCTCTAAGATGGCCCACAGATTTCATTGCCATATCTTGGTGTTCACACAGTGTAATCCCTTCTCCTCGAATGTAGGCTAGATTTACTGGCTTACTTCCAACAAATAGAATGTGGCAGAAGTCACGGAATGCCACTCCTAACACCGGGTTATGAAAAGACTGTGGCTCCCATCCTGAGTGCCCTCTCTTGCTCTCACACTTGCTCCTTCTGAAGGAAGCCTGCTGACACCACATGAGCTGCCCTGTGGAGAGGCCCTCGCAGTGAGGAATTGACATCTCCAGCCGACCTCCAACAGTGACCCCACGGCTGCCAACAGCCATGGGAGTGAGCTTCGAAGCGAATCCTCCTGCATCAAGCCTTGGGGTGGCCATAGCTCCTGTCGGCCTTGATGACAGCCTGTTAGCCTGAGCTAGAGAGACCTGGATTCCTCACCAACAGAAACTGTGAGATAGTAAGTGCTTGTTAGATATGTCACAGATTTTGGAGGAGATTTGTTAAAAAGGAATACATAACTAATACGATTATGCTTGTAGGTAAAGAATTAAGGTAGGTACAGCTGTTGCCCTCAAGGATGCCCATATCTGAATCCCTGGACCTCTAAATATGTTACAACGTGGCAAAGTGGACTTTGAAGATGTGATTGTGTTAAGGATTTTGAAATGAGATTTTCCCAGATTATCCTGGTAGGCTCAATGTCATTATAAGGATCCTTAAATAGGAAAGACAGGGACAGAAGAGTTTGAATCAGAGACACAGCAGCATGAGAAAGACTTGGCCCACCATTACTGACTTTGTAGTTGGAAGAAGAGACCATGACCAAGGAATGCAGTCTCTAGAAGCTGTTCTTCCCAGGGGCCTCCAGAAGGAACATGGGCTGTAATGAAATTTTGATTTTAGCTGAGTGAGATCTATCTCTATCTTCTGACCTCTAGATATGTAAGATAATTTGTTTTAAGCCACCAAGTCGGTAGCGATTAGTTATAGCAGCAATAGGAAACTAACACAGGCATGAACAGGACACTACTAGGAAGAGTTTTTTCTGCACAAATACAGTAGTGTTGACATCCCTGTAGGAAGCTAGGCTTTGACGAGGCAAGTACAGTTATTGGGATAAAGCAATGGGGTTCATGAGAATAAGGATGTCACTAGTTTGCCCCCTTAGGAGAACCCAATTGGAATAGTACAGTGTCTTAGCCCCGGAGCATTTCCCTAACATACCCACCAGCTGTCCCACAAAAGCATGCCACAGACTAACCCCTTTGGAGGGTTACTGAGAGGGTGAGATAATGCAGGACAGAGGCAATCCTGCTTGACATGTCTATAGCGTCATCTCCAGGGACTAGCGAGGCAGAGAGCTGCCTACACAATCCCCAGCTGGCCTTCCTACTGGTATCACACACTCCCATCTCCTTCCCACTCCTCAACTTCCAGAAGATAGAGGTTGAGTCAGGAGTGATGAGACAGCATTGGAGAGCCACTCTCCACAACCACCCCTGGACCTCAAAGCCACTAAAATGTCCATGGCCAAATCTGACTTTACTCAAACAAGTAACCTCCCCACCCTGACCCCAGACTACCCAAGAGTCTACCTACTGAATTTCTATTATAATTAAGACTTCTCACTCTACATAGTTCATCTAATTTTGTCCCTGGTGAATCAGTGTAGTAGCAACTGAGAAACCAAGGCTCAGAGAAGTTAACTGGTTGCAAAGCCAAGGCTGGAATCTAGATTTCCTGATTCCAGTCCTACATCCTGTCCACCAAACCACACTTTTCCCCACTTTTAGCAAAAGAACTCAAAATAAAATCTAATCGCCAGGGCTGTGAGACAGACAGAACTAAGTTCCAAGGCTGGCTCTGTCACAGAATTCCTGTCATTTCCCCGAGCCTCATTTACTCCATCCCTGAAATGAAGATCTAGTGGGAAAACATGAGACTGAGTCTGTGATAGTGTCAGAGAGCTGAGGAGAAACACAGAAATACCCAGAAAGTCAGTAGCCACCCCCACTCAAATTTCCAGACCCAAAGCAGGACACCGTGAGAAGAAGAAAAAAAAATTCTCCAAATTTTTTTTTTTCCACAACAAACTTCGAAAACTAGAATGTGGGTGTGAGCATTACTTTAAGGATTTTTTAAGTGACACGTGGATCACCTGTCAGGGAGCCAGGACCGGAATGCTGGTTTTAATTACACCGAATATTTCACTTTCTTATGCAGAGGCATAATCAATTATCTTATTTAAAGGCATTACGATAATGTGTGTGTAAAATGGAGCCATTCCCTGTATTGCATTAGATTCTGCTAATTATAGGAGAATGTTTGGAGCTAAAATGTCAACTTGTCATCCGGATGGCTTGTAATTCAGGATTTGCATTCATAGACGGGAAGGGAACTCTAACAAAAATTGCATTCAGCTCGAGCTCGTCTAGCCTCTACCTCACAGGCTCCAGCAGCAAGGAGGGAATTGATCTCTGCTCTGCCCCTGCTCCTATCCGCAGGATAGTGGGCTCTCCATCCTCAAGAGGGCAAGGGAGGGCTGTAGGAGTAGCGGCAGCAAACCACACCAGCTACAAAAATGGAAACACAAGATCCCTGCTGAAAACCTACCCACTCACCTCATTAGTTTTCTTCCTAGTAACAGAGATTCCAAACGCGGTTTGTAAAGAGATTAGGTTCCTAAGAACTGACGGTCTTTGGCTTTCTTGGGAATGTCAGTTGGATTTAATTCAATTCAACAAATATTTCACTGCCAAGTGAGTGCCTACTGTGGGCACCATGCCAGGTGTTTAGTGTAGAGGGCACTGGTTCATAGTGTGAGGTCTGGAGCAGACAGCCTGCATCAGCCTCTGGAACTTACTAGATGTGTGCACTGTGAGTCAAGCTAACTCTCTGTGCCTCTGATTCCTTGTTTGTAAAATGGGGACAGCAGGGTCATTATAAGGATGAGACAGATGATGTCTGTGAAGTGCTTAGAAGGAGACTGATGTCAGTTAAGCAGTCAACAGACCTACCTGACATTGTAGTCATGACCACGACATATGCCAGCTCCAGGGGAAACAGACATTGAACAAGTAGGAGGGATCCCCTACCCTTCCAGGGGTATTCACCCTAATACCCCACTTTCGCACAGCCACTGGCTTCATAATAAGCTATTTCACGTCCTGTATGTCACTGTATCCTCCCCAAACTCATATGATTATCCTCCCAAAACAACAAAAAGGACCTTTCAGAGCAATGAGGTGAGTGATTTCCCTCTTTCAAGATAACCCTTCTGCCAAGGGGAAGCAAGAATAACAGCCCCTCTGGACAGAGGAGGGAATCCATCCCCCGGTTGAATTCTCTTCTCTCCAGCCCATCTGCCCAACTCTTCCCAGCTACTGCACACTCAGCCCTGAGTACAGAGGACCAGGGCTGGGATACATCAGGGGCCCTTTTGCTGATAGCAACTACAGGATGAAAACAACCTGAATAAGCCAGCCAGTGTCAGCAGGACAGGGTCAGCTGGGGCCAGGGTGAGCTGAGGCCAGGGTGCCTATGGGAGAGGTTTTAAGATCCAGCCTCCCTCTCCACCACCTAGGCACCATTCCCAGGGCCACTCTAGGTCAGCTGGCTGATTCCTAGGCCACCTCACTTTGTCCTTTTCCTCTCCCCAACCCTTCCCAGGACCCCAGCCAGCTTTCTTCCAACTACATGCATCTCAGAACTCCCTGAGCAAAGCTTTGGACTTTTCTCCAACTGCCCAGTGCTTCCAGAAATCCTCCTTCCAGATCAGATTTCACACCTCCATGCCTGGCCTCAGGGCTCAGTGACTTGGACTGTGTCATTCTTCCTGGTTGGAGAGCCCAGCCATATGGCCTTGCCCACCTGAACTTGCTCTGCTACCCTCATGAGTGACCAACTCAAAACAAAGTACCCAAGACACCAGCTTTCCCAAACGCCTGTCAAGACCAGGTTACTTCACCCTCCCCACCACCATCTTTCTTCAACTGCCCTTAGATTTCCAGGAAACTTGTGAGGTTGGATCAGTCTCTGCAGCTCCCAAGGAGAGTGACCATATACCACGCCCCCATTCTATCTTCCTTGGACTTTGCTTTTTAGTGGGATCCTGGTGTCTAAGAGCAGAACCATATCTGGAGCACCCCTTTTTCCTGGGAGTTAGGCTCTTACTCTCCAGCTTTAAAGCTTCTTGTTTTCATTTGTTTTAATAAATGTTTCTCCTTTAAAAATCTTGCATGCCAAAAAAAGGATTGGATGTTTATTATAGAAAACTGGAATGTGCAAAAAAGTAGAAGGAAGGGGGAAAAATCATTC
The DNA here is from genome assembly GCF_000001405.40 of Homo sapiens. NCBI lineage: Eukaryota > Metazoa > Chordata > Mammalia > Primates > Hominidae > Homo > Homo sapiens. The sequence continues at coordinate 88,384,358 of NC_000015.10, forward strand.
ATTAATCCTCTGCCAGGAGGGCACTGCAGTTAGCATCTCCTTGTTGAGTTTCATAGATGGGCTTTTTGAAGTTGAACCAAATCATAGACTGAGAGTTGAAAGTAGTTGCAGCTCACAACACTGTGGAAGTGTGGGATCCAGTAATCTATGAGACCCACCGATGTTTCATATTTCCTTCCCAAATAGAGGATTTCTTGAAGGTCTAACCCCCTATACACTGAATAATAATTATTATTATTATTTATTATTATTATTATTATTATTTTTGAGATGGAGTCTCACTCTGTTGCCAGGCTGGAGTGCAGTGGCGTGATCTGGGCTCACTACAACCTCCGCCTCTAGGGTTCAAGCGATTCTCCTGCTTCAGCCTCCCGAGTAGCTGGTATTACAGGCGCATGCCACCATGCTCAGCTAATTTTTGTATTTTTAATAGAGACAAGGTTTCACCATGTTGGCCAGGATGGTCTCTATCTCTTGACCTCGTGATCCACCTGCCTTGGCCTCCCAGAGTGCTGGGATTACAGGCGTGAGCCACCTAGTGCCTGGCCTAGACTGAATCTTTATGAGGCCATGCAGGGTGGCCACTTGGACGTTATTTCAACTGTACTTCACTTTGGTCCCTGGAAAAACCCCTAATATCTATAGCCCTGTGTCCCTAACCTCTGGGTTTCAATGGTTCCCTGCTCCAGTGAGCTCCACATCTCCAGCTCCAGCCCTGGCCCCTATCCTAAGCTCAGAGCCACATACCCAACTACATCCCAGTGTCTCCTGCTCACACCAAGTGGCTCAAAACTGAACTCACTCATCTTTACCCTTCAGACTTGCTCTGCCACCCACCTCCTCAGCAGCATTATTTACTCACTCATCGAAGCTGGCAACCTCCAAGTCATCTCTGACTCATCTCTCTTGCTTGTACCAGTAATTCATCAAGTCCCTTTGTTTCATCTCTGAAATGTCTTGCACATCATTCCTCTCTCATCTCCACCACCACTGCTGAATAATTTCATGTCTTCTTACTGTGGCAACTGACCTTCCTAACCGACCTCACCCTCCTTTCTCAGCCTCATTGACAGTGCTTATCTTCCCAGGCACTTACTATGTCCCAGGCACTTTTCATTGATCACCTCCCAAGGACAAAGTACTTATTGTTGGCCCTGTGCTACATTTGAGAATCCAACACTAAGCATCTCAGTTATCTATTAACAAGTAGCAAAGAATCCCAAGACTCAAGGCCTTGAAACAAGGGTGATTTTTTATGTCTCACAGTCTGTAGGTTTACAATCTGGGTGGTTCTTCTGCAGGTCTTACCTGGGATCACTCATATGGCTGCAGTCATCTGACAGCTTGACTGGGGCTGGATGTTGAAGATGTCCTCATTCCATGTCTGGCAGTTGATGCTGGCTGTGAACAAGGCACCTTGGTCCTCCTCCATTTAGGTTCTCACCTTCCAGTAGGCTACACAGGCTTCCTTTCATGGTGGCCTCGGGGCAGCATTCCAAGAGAGTGGAAAGCAAAAGCTAAAAGGCCTCTTAAAGCCCAAGCTCCAGAACTCTCCTAATGACAATTCTGCTCTATTTTATTAGTCAGAGAAGCCATAGGCCAGCCCAGTACCAAGGAGATAGAGAGATGTACCTATTAATGGGAGAAGTGGCAACATCCTGTTGCAAAAGGGTGAGGACACAGGGAGGCCTGATTCACTGGGAACCATTGTAATAATGAGCTACCACACTACAGAACTTGTCCACAGTCATCCACTCAACTTGAAAATCCCAGGATATAAACCTGAGTCTTCTGATTCCAATGTTCTCCCATGTTCACTTTTGTTGCCAGACCTGATTCCCACCAAGAAGCAGTCAGCAGTGGATGGGTCACTGTGAGTAGTCACTTGATCTGTGCTGCCCACCGTCCTGGATGAAAGTTGCTGTCAACTGGATCAGCACCACCTTATCTTCCAGTAGTTCTGGCTTTGATAACAGCTGCTCATCCCACCTTCCCACTCACCATGTCCAGCTTGGCTCCGGCAAGCAGCATAATGCAGGACTCGAGAACTCCCCCAGGTCCCCAGACTCCATTAAGAAGCTGATTAAAATTTGATGCTCCCATTTAACACCTATTAGCAAACACAGTGCCCTCCTGCTAGGAGAGAGAAGTTGGGAGAGGGGCCCTCCCCAGGTCCCAGCAGCACCCTTTGTGCCAGGGTAGCAACCATTAGCTGGAAGAAAGATAAAGAAGAGGTGGACTGGGTGTGGAGGGAGGAAGAGTTGGGGGCTGTGTGTTATTTACAAAAGATCACCACTTCCTGAGCCCCAAATTGGGACTGTGAGCTTGAGTCCTCAGTGCAATTGTCCCACAGTGGACAGTGGAACCAGGCCAGACATGAGAAATTGGCATCCAAGAAACTGCAGCCCAAAGGGATCATGAGGGGCCACTGTCTCTCCCACCACCTTCCTACCAGGCAAAGTCTAAACTGTCCAAGACCATGAGAAGATGCATCACGGGAATGAATGTAATCAGGATATCAATGCTGTATTTGAAAGACTGAATCTCTGTTCCCAAGGTCAGCTGTGGGAATATGCCTCAAAAATCCCCAAGAGGAAGGAGATCCAAGGGAATCGATGGCAGTTTTCCATCCCTTCATTCCTAGGCAGAATGATTTAGAGGCTGAGCACATCCAATTTGGGGTAGGAGGGAAGAGATAATCAGACATATGTTGACTGAGCACTTACTATGTACCAGTCCCTGGCATGAAGGGGGTCTTACACAGAGCAGGAAACAGAGTCTCTACCCTCAAGGAGTGTATGATTTCACTAAGACCACAGGTGCACAGACACCTGCAGTTAAGTAACAATACAAGGTGTTCTTTATATATATTTTAGAGACAAGGTCTTGCTATATTGCCCAGGCTGGTCTCAAACTCCTGGGCTCAAGTGATCTTCCCACCTCAGCCTCCGAGTAGCTGGGATTACAGTCAGGAGCCACCAAGCCTGGCCAAGATGTTATTAGAAGGAGCACAGAACTAGAGTCTGAATCCCAGGATTGTCACTTACTAGCTCCATGAGAAACTTCGTAAAAAACAAATACAAATTTTACGCTCCTGGTGAATGCTTAGCAAACACAATGCCTTCCTGCTAGGACAGAGAACTCAAAAGAGGGCTTCCCTGGTAACTTTGAAGGTCAGGGTGGTGATCATTAGGAGGAGCCTAGCAAGTCATGTTTAATCTTAAGCCTCAGCATCCTTATCTGTAAAATGGGGATGGTGACACCCACCACACAGGGCTGTTAGGAAGACTGGGTGATACAATGCCCATGAAAGTACAGTGTCCAGTAGCTATTCAAAGTCAAGCCTTGTGATGACCATGACAAGTGTTAGGAGATGAAGCCACCCTTCCAGGTTATAGAGCTTCCTGAGGTCAGTGAAGTAACATGGAAATCAAGGCATCTTACCGTTTATCAGATTAGCTTTATTCCCCACAGGCCCCCTCCCTGAGATACAAAGCCCTTCTGGTCCCACCCTCTAACTATGGCCCTCAGCACATCCCATAACAGGCGTTTTCACAGCAGAGCCATGACAGCCCCCAGGGGAGCCAGGATGACCAGGGGCCCCCTAGGACCCTTGCCAGTCCTGCGGACATTCCCTCCACACACTCACCCCAGCCCCTCAGAGTCTTATGTTAATAAATGGCTCCCCTTATCTCTGGCTCCTCTGTGTCCTTTCCTCCATCCAGCAGTCTTTTGCTTTAGGACTCAATGCCCTTGGCTTCCCTTTGAAGCCCTGACTTTCCCCATTTACCTAGAACCAGCCCTCAGCACTAAGCTCCAGAGGGTACTGTGGACTTCACACTATCACAGGATGGTAGGGGAGGGGACAGGACAGCCAAGGAAGACTGGAGGGGGCAGGGCCCAACGGCACCTTGAAGACTGCACCTCCCCGGGGTTATAGAAAGGGTGGATGGTGGGGGGCTTCTCAGCAACTGTACCTCACTGAGGGCTAGGGCAGCAAAAGAGTTTTGAGGATGATATGAAGTAAACTTGAGAAAGAAGACTGGAAGCCAGGGTGGCTGGGCCCGCCCTGCCTGCTGGGACCCAGGTTGTGGTTGTGATCTGGAGACTCTGTTGACTCACAAAAAGTTGGGCACTTTTAAGCAGTAGAGGGATGGAATCGAATTAATGGTTTTGGGAAGGTGCCTTGGCAGGGGTCAAGGAGGTTCCTTTTGTGGGAGGACAGCTCTGTATGCAGGGTGACTGGAATCACTCCCAAGGCCCTGCTGCAACTTCCCAACTAGGCAGGGGTTTCAGAAAGAAAGACCACACAAAAGGCGGTGACATTGTTTGCTAGAGTCTCTGAGCCACACCCTTGATTCCTTGCTCTGGAGTCAAATCCAATTCCCACCCCTTTCCCTCCACCTCCCATGGCTTGCTGTGCCGTCCTCTGCAGCCTCCAGGTGGCCACAAGAATGTCCTTTCTGGCTTAGGGCCCCCCACACACACTGAAAAACTACCCCCAGCAGGGCATCAGGTTGAAAGAGATTAGAGTTGAGAATAATTAACCCAAGATCAGAGCTCCTCTTTGTCACTTACTAACGGTGCAGCCTGGGCAAATTGCTCAATCTTTCTGGGCCTTGGCTTTCTCATCTGTAAACTGAGAATCATAAACTCCCTTTGTAGGATAGTGGTGGGATTAAATGAGATAACGTATCTAAATGTATTCCCATTGAAGTCAAATAAAGTCTAGAGACAAATCTCTAAAGTATAAATGTTTTGTTTTGGGAAGCAAGAATTGCAATTTAGGGCTTACACACAGACCGGGTGGTCTCCAGTATGTCCAGAGAACAAAGAGAAGGTTGAGAGTTTTATTAGAAAGAGAAATGTTATGCATTGTTTTGAAAGAAAGCTCATTGGCTCTAGAGAAGCCTTTTGGGAGCTGGCAAGCTCTGATTGGTGGGTGATTGTGGTAAGTAAAACCAGTCTTAGAGTCACGGCAGGTTGTTTCAGCAGTTACTAGGTAAAACTGGCCTTGGGGTCTCAGCAGGCCATTTCAGCAGTGGCAATTGTGGAAAATTTAATTCTTGGAGCCGGTGTTCCGTGCCCCGAGTACTTTTTTCCCCTGGCTCCTGACTCTGATTTAGTAGAGTATGGCAAGAATGACCCAGTTTGTGTCATCAACTTTCACACTCCTAGCCCAGTGCCTGGAACACAGTGGGCCCTCTCCCCTCATTCAGATGCATCATTAGATACCCATTGGTCATCACAGAGAGAGCACATAATGGGGTGCCTAGTCCATAAACAGCACTCCATTGGGAATCTGTGGCCTTAGAGATGGCCTCTCCTCCTCTCTGCTGCCTGTATCTTCTGTCTCCTGTCCCCACTGCACTGCCTGCATCAGGCTCTCACATGTCATCCTTTCAATCTGTGGGGACAACCTCTCCCTGGTCCTCTTTGCCATGACCAGGTGAAGCCTCCTGAAAAGTCAAGAAACTGCCATTCCAGCCCCCAGAATGTGCTCAACTCCATCTCATGGCTTATAAAGGCTTCTCATTCCCACCCTAACCTGCTCTCCAGCCCAAACACCTTCCCACTTTGCACCTATAATCCAATCACTCCAAACTCCCCACCATCCCCCAGATACCCTGCTTATGCCTCCATGCCCAAGCAACTGCAATTCTATCTGCCTAGAAGACACATCCCTCCTTTCACCAGCACTGGCTCCAAGTGAAACCCTTGAATACTCGAGACCCAGATCCATGCCACCTCCTCAGCAAAGCCTTCCCTGGCACCCCTAGTAGATGCCATTGGTTTTTCTCTATGCCAGGGGCCTGCAATCTATGGCCCACAGGCCAAATCCAACCCACCATCTGTTTTTCTACAGACCGTGAGTCAAGAATGGTTTTGACATTTTCAGGTATTTGAAAAGAATCAAAATAATAATATGCCATGTCATGTGAAGATTATGTGAAATTCACGTTTTAGTGTCCATAAATAGTTTCATCAGAATACAGCCATGCATAATCCCTTAGGCATTGTCCACAGCTGCTTTTGCACTACTACAGAGTTGAATAGTTGCAACAGAGACTGCATGACCCACAAAGTTTAAAACATTTACTCTCTGGTCCTTGACATAAAAGAAAAGCTTGCTGATCTTGGCTCTAGGATGCTACAATTTTTATTTCAAATGCTCTTGTACCAGGATCTGTCTTTTCTGTGGATGATGAACAACTCAAGGGGAAGACTTGTTCAACACTGATCTTTGGGCCTATTCCAGCTCCTAGCAGTAGTAGACATTCAATATTCTGCTCCCAATGGTCCCAGCTCCCACAGGCAAGCCCCAGCGCCTGGGATCTGGTAACACCCACTTCTCTTTGTCCCTGCAGCCCTATTGGTAGGGCCTGCTGGAGACACTTCCTGAAGCATCATTCCCCCTCCAGAAATAGAAACTACAGCCTAACAGAGTAAGTTGACTTGCCTAAGGTCATGCAGTTAGAGATTCAAACCCAGATCGTTCCCTGCAAACTTAACACTACCCTCTCATCCTTCCCAAACAGCCTGCCACGCAGAGGCACCAGGATTGCCCCTGGGCTCTGAGGAGCTGAAATTATTTCAGTAGCAGAATCCCAGGACCAGAGGCAACTCCCCAGGAATGTTTGTTGCGTGGGGTTTATAAGCAGCATTGGTCTAATAAAATAACTTCTGAACATCTCACATCCCCTAATTACTTGTCACAATAATGTGAGGCATCTCCCCGTGTGCTTGTTTTTCCCTTTGCTGTCACAGCGCGGGAGCTCCTGGGCCCGGGAGGCGGAGATAAATATAGCCGCTCATTTACTCACCAGTTGGGTTGCCTGAATGCACAACAATACACGTCACCACCCCGACACGTGCAGAGCCCATGCACACGCACATGGAGAGTATTGCCGTTTGGACCACATGGCGTCACTGACACTTCCTGGATCAACCCTGAGAAAGGGGCATGAACTGGTCCAACATGATGCCAACTGGCCAGAACTGGGACCATTCTTTACTTTAGGAGTTACTGGGAGGCAAATTTGGGTGTGATAGAAGGAGGAGTTTTTCTAAGGATGAAGCACTATCAAGGGTACTTTTTCACTAGGATAGGACAAGTTGGCTTTTCAGGTCCCCACGGGTCTTTTTGTTGTTGTTGTTGAGACCCAGTCTTGCTTTGTTGCCCAGGCTGGAGTGCAGTGTCACGATCTAGGCTCACTGCAACCTCCGCCTTCCGGGTTCAAGCAATTCTCCTGCCTCAGCTTCCTGAGTAGCTGGGACTACAGGCGCATGCCATCATACCCAGCTATTTTTTGTATTTTTATTAGAGACGGGGATTCACCATGTTGGCCAGGATGGTCTCGAACTCCTGCCCTCGTGATCTGCCCACCTCATTCTCCAAAGTGCTGGGATTACAGGCATGAGCCACTGTGCTTGGCCAGTCCCCACAGGTTCTAAGTCTAAGACATTCTGTACTTAGGAATGTTCAACTCATTTCTCCTCAGCCTCCAGGAGCTCAGGTTGGAAGCACAGAAGAGCTGGGTGGGGCTGGGGTGTGGGAGGAAAGCAGAGCTCTTACACAACATTTCTGCAGTGTCCTCAAAGTCAACCTGCCACTTCCTCTTTAGGGTCTGATGCTGAGTTCAGTCCCCATCTCTGCCTCTCAGGAGGATCAGTAGCAGAACCATGAGGTGGTCTCAAATCTTTCCTTTTTGGGTCTACATTCTTATCCCTCCTCAGCTGCCCCTCCTGGTGCCCTGTGTCTGCCATGACTCTCTAACACCAGCACCCCCTACTAAGCCTTTTCCAGGGCATTTATTTCTCCATATTATGGTCTGGAGACCTCAGATAAAATGCTCAAAAATGTGTGTGTGTGTGTGTGTGTGTGTGTGTGTGTGTGTGTTCCCTCCCACCGTATGAGTATACTGACAGAGCTATTCCCAAATTTTCCAGAAAACAGTTCCACCCCAGTATCTTCTAGACCAGCAGAAAACTGCTTCCTGCAGGCAAATTCTCCTAATCCTCGTGGTCTTGTTCAGAGGGTCCCTCTCCTTTGCAAGGTTGCAGGTGGATACAGAACTGAAATATCTGGTCAGGTGGCTTTTGGCCAGCTCATCCCAATATGGGGGTTCATCCCTGGGGTCACAGGACTCCTCTGCTTTCTGAAGTCATTCTGGGAAGCACCAGGGCTTGTGTGTGTTCACAGCACTGACCTCAGAACCCCATTGTCTCAGGTGTGCTACAATGCCTTTGCCAGACATGAAGATTGATTGGAATAAGCCTTGGACAGGATAACAGTAAGTGTCCCTTGGAGCAGACAGAGAGGCCAGGTCTCTGCAGTGTAGATGTCTACCTTGGAGATTCTTTGATTCCCAGCACCTCTGCTCAGCCACTGGGGACCATTTGAGGTTCACTCACTCATTGGCTTTTCTCTCATTGGCTCTTTCTGAAAACTACTTTCTTTCTTGCCATTCCCTTTTCTGTCCCCTTCTATCCACTGACCAAGTTGAAGCTTGCTGCAGTGCCTTGGCAAGCCTGGAAACCAAATAGAATACAAAATGAGCCTAACATGGCTCATGCCTGTAATCTCAGCATTTTGGAAGGCTGAGGTAGGCAGATTACTTGAGGCCAGGAGTTTGAGACCAGCCTGGCCAACATAGCGAAACCCCGTCTCTACTAAAAATACAAAAAATAGCTGGGCGTGGTGGCGGGTTCCTGTAATCCCAGCTACTCGGGAGCTGTGGCAGGAGAATCATGTGAACCCAGGAGGCAGAGGTTGCAGTGAACCAAGATTGGGCCATTGCACTCCAGCCTGGGCAACAGAACAAGACTGTCTAAAACAAATAAAAAAAAATACAATGAGCCCAACTTGGGTAGAAATTGCATCTCTACTGAGTGTTATCTATGGAACCTGGTATGCACCAAACCTCTTCTAGGTTCAACTTCTTTATCTGTAATATGAGGATGGTAAGATCTATCTCTAATAGACAGCTGTCATTCTTGCCTACCCAGCAACGATGCTGCCATCATCTGGTGTCAACACCATGATTTTCCTTTGAGGAGCCCATGTCATTCTCCCACCCAGTCCATGTGATTTTCTAGGGCTGATGCCCTCATTGCCAAAAGTGGGCAGCTAGCCCTGGATTGGCCAGTGACAGTACTACAACCTTCTGGCCACAGTATTTGGTTCAGGAAAGGTCATTTGACCCAGGCCAAGCCAATGAGAGTCAGCTCTGGATTTTTGCTAAACCTCTGTTAGCTTGGGAATTTCTACAAAGGCAGAATATTAGTCTAGAGCTGCTGATGGCCACCTTTGTCCCCACATGAGTTATGCCCATCTGAGAATGAAGCCAATACAAAAGAAGACAGAAGTGAGAAACAGAGAAATTCCTCAGGACATTCTTTAAGGACCTGGATCTAGCCATGTCTGATGTTCATCCTTGAATGACTGAGCCAATAAACTTCCTCTTTAGTTTACGCTAGTTTGAGTCGGGTTTCTTTCAGTGGCAACTGAAACTCCTGACTAATACACTACCTCAAGGCTCTTGTCAGAATCAAATGAAACAGCATATACAATCACCTAGCAGACTGCTGGTACATAATAGGAGCTCATTAAATATTAGTCACCTTCCCAACAAGAGGAGGCAGGGAAAAGTGCCAGTGGACACAAGACTGAGAACACAAGAAAGATGTATAACCAACAGAGCAAGAGCCTGGAGGAGCCAAGAAGGGATGAGATCAAAGCACGGTGGCAAGTTTGGACTGAGCAGAGAAAGAGACACTTCTTCCTTGCAGGCAGCGAGAGGAAACCCTGGGAAATGAAGAAAGGCTGAGGAGGGGAGGAGGGATGTTGGGGGACTTCACAGCAGGCTGCTTATTCCCCTCGAGTTTGGAATTAGGGTGTCCTCTGCAGAGTCAGGTCCATGAGTAAACCCAGAGCCTTGAGGTTAGTAGAGAAGGGCTGAATCAGCAGCTGTCACTGTTTAGCAGGAGAAAATGGGAGGTTGCTGCATAGCAGACAGCCTGCTGCCACTTCTGGGGACCTAATCCAGACAGACTCATGCCTGTTTTCCTGTCATGTTTCTTTGGCCCTATTTCTATCTACTATTTGGGTCTTGAAAAGAGGATATTGTCGTGCTTCCCAGGAAACTAGCTCAGGGACCCAAACCCAGGAAGCTTCCACCCCCAAAACATACAACCCTTATTTTGGGGGGAGTCCTGTAGAGAGTCCAGCATCCCACCTGTCCTGATTCTGCTAGAGAAAGAGATTTCTTCACAATGGAAGCCATTCTTTCCCTTAAGTTCTTTGCTTCTGGGGCTCACTTTGCCTTCAGTAATCTCTCTCCACTCCATCCTACACACCAAAGACCTACACTAGTCCCAGCCTCTCCCTCTGAGGTGACTCATGGTAATCCTACCCAGCACCCAAGGCCAGACTCAAGGCAAATTGTACTCAATGCCCAGTTCAATCTCTCCTTTCTGCCTCTAAACCAAGCTTGGCAAACTTTTTCTGTAAAGGTCCACACAGTACATAATTTAGGCCTTCTGGGCCATATGGTCTCTGTCACAACTAACTTCTCAACTCTGCAGTTGTGGAACAAAATAAGCCATAGACCACATGTAAACAAATGAGCATGGTGTGTTCCAATAAAACTTTTATTTATGGACATGGAAATTTGAATTTCATACAATGCTCATGTGTCATGAAATAGTATTCTTCTTTTGTTTCTTTCTAAAACATTTTAAAATGCAGCAATCATTTTTAGCTCACAGGCTGTACAAAAACAAGCGGTGGAACAGATTTGGCCCAAGGGTCATATTTTGCCAACCCCTGCTCTAAATAACAACAGCAATGGCTGCTGTTGTTAAATTCCTACTCCACACAGGATCTTGTACTTCTGTTTCCTGATTTAGTCACCACTTGAGCTTTATTAGGTCAGTTGTGAAACGGGAAAAGTTTCCTTATCCCCCTCACAGGGCATGCCATCAGGGTTTGGCTCACTTCAGTGCCCCACTGCTCATATCTCCAGGGGGAGCAGGCAACCGGGCTGGTTGTGGGGAGCGTGGGCTTTGACCCCATAGCAGCATCTAGGGGTGAATATTTAAAGGTCCTGAGGCCGCAGTGGGCATGTGTTACAGTGTGCTCTTTCAGTTTAGCCATCCGCAGGCAGCTCGTGTTAATCAGCTCAATTAGATCCTCTGCCTTATTGCAAGGACAGAGGGCTTTCTGTATCCCAGGTTCTTGCCTTAGTGTAACGGAAAAATCAGATCACACATGGGCTTGGAGAATGAGTGCAAGGTTTTATTGAATGGAAGTAGCTCTCAGCAGACAGATAGGGAGTTAGAAGGGGGATGGAGTGGGAAGGTGGTTTTCCCCTTGAGTCAGGCTGCACAGCAGCCGGACTCTTTTATGACCGCCCCAGCCAAACTCCGCGTTGTTCCACCAGTCGATGGCCTACCTACATCTGCCAGTGCCTGTGGGTGTGCTTTTCCTCCGGAGTGTTCCTCTTGATGTCCAGCCAGTTGTGCCTCTGCCCACTAGGGTCTCAGGGTTTTTATAGGCACAGGATGGGGGTGTGGCAGGCCAGGGTGTTCTTGGAAAATGCAACATTTGACCACGAAAGCAGAAATGCCTGTCCTCACCTAGGTCCGTAGGCCCTGGCCCGGGAGTGGAGCCCTAGCCAGGGACCACACCCTTCTCCTCCCAGCACTTCCCTGCCTTCCTCCCATATCGGTAGGATTATCTCCATTTTCTAATGTAGAAAATTTAAGTTTCAGAGAGCTTCTGTGACTTGCCTCAGAATATCACACCCACTGGTAGGAATGCTGGGGTTCAGAGTCCATCTGCCCCTGAAGTCTATCTACTTCCCCACATACTTTCCAAAGCCTCTCACATCTCTCTAAGCCCTCCTCCCTGCCTTGCCTCCTACTGTTCTGATTTGTAGGCATTTGTAATCTTCACTTAATTCCCCTACAGAGGTATAAGGCACCCAAGGGCAGGAATATGTCTAATTTGTTCCCCCTTTTGCTGCCTAGCCCTGTGGCCAGCCCATGTTAGCTGTTCCTCCTCTCCCTCCTCCTTCTCCCCTTCCTTTTCCTGCTCCTCCTCCTCCCTCTGCTGCCCTAGCCTGCTTCTACAGAGCCTGCTGGCACCTGAGCTATTTCCGGGGCCTTGTAAACTTTCTTTAACTTGGGAAGCCCAGAGTGGTGCTAGAAACCAGCAGTGCAATTACAGTGCTTTTAAACTGCCAGGCTCCTTTGTGTTCATTCCCCCAAGGGGCCCCTCAAAGGCTGGGATTGTGTTAGGTTAAGGAGGGAGGAGGTGCGGTTGCTCATCTTCATCAGGGCAGAGGAGTTTCCAGCTAATGCAGCAGCTGCTCACTAGGGGCCTGAGAGGAGGGGCAGCCCAGGAGGACAGCTCTATCCTCCCACGATAAAGTATCCAGGATTCTATACCTCTAAAGTTGGAACCTGGAAGTGGCCAATTGGAGGTCTTCAAAGGACCAGGAACAGCTGGGTGTGGGGTGGGGAGGCACAGACCTCAAAGTTAAGTTCATCTCCTTGGCAGAGGAGCCTGGAATTGGTCCTGCCTCAGTCCCCAGCTGCATCTCCAGAAAGGTACCTGGAGCCCCAGGCGCGTATTTGTTCATTAGATAGCCTGTGATATTGCAAAGCTGCTCTTGACTCCTGTGTCTGTCTTCTTCCCCTCCAGCCTGTAGCTTCTTGAGGCTCATAGACTGTGACTTTTATGTCTCCAGAGTGGGTGCTTAACTAATGTTTGCTGAATGAAGAAATGGCGGCTGGGCTTGGTGGCTCACGCCTGTAATCCCAGCACTTTGGGAGGCCGAGGCGGGCGGATCACCTGAGGTCAAAAGTTGGAGACCAGCCTGGCCAACATGGCGAAACCCCGTCTCTACTAAAAGTACAAAAATTAGCCAGCATGGTGGTGGTGGGTGCCTGTAATCCCAGCTGCTCGGGAGGCTGAGGCAGGAGAATTCCTTGAACCCAGGAGGCGGAGGTTGCAGTGAGCCAAGATTGCACCACTACACTCCAGCCTGGGCGACATGAGCAAGACTCCGTCTCAATAAATAAATAAATAAATAAATAAGAAAAGAGAAGAAATGGCACAGGAGAAGCAGGTGCAGTCTGCAATGCATGGGGTAGAAAAGGGGTTCTTGACACGTCTACCTCACTTATGGCCTGGTATACCTTACTTAGGCTCAAAACTGCTCAGCAGCTCACCACGGTTTTCGGGGGTAGGCAGGGCAATGTATGGTGAGGAATAGGGAATTTGGCAAGGAGGTAGCTGAGCTCACATCTTGGCTCAAGCCCACCAGGCACATCCTGGAACTTTAGGGCTGCATGTGGCCACAGGGACGACCACTCTGCAGCTCTACCGTGCCCTCTAGGATTGGCAAATCTCCACCACCAAGAGCTCGGCCACCCCCAGGGCAGAGAGAAGAGGCTGCTCCTCCAGTTTCTGGAGCTCCTTTCCTGAAAGCACAGTATGTTAGAGCTGGAGGGGACTTCAGAGCCATTCTAGACCAACCTTCCCATCTAAATAAAAAGTGCAGGAAATGGATACCCAGAGCTCTGACGCATGGCCTCCTGCTATCCTGGCAAGATTGCCAAAAGTGGAGCAAGAAGACCTCCCAGGCCCTGTGTCATTGTGGAGGAAGGTGCGCTTTGTCCCTCAGGACTTGGCCTTCATCCTTCAAAGGGAGCAGGCCCTGCTTCCCCACAGAACTAACAAGATTGACAGCCAAACAGGCTTTTTAACCCTGTGGGGTCCACACAGAATAGGTGTGGGTAGGCAGATGCCCAGACAGCCTTTCCCAGGCCTGTCTGTGCATCAGAAGCAGCTAGGGATCTTTTTATAAGCCAATTTCTGGGCCTTTCCCCTGACAGTTCTGCTCCCATGGGTCTGGGGTAGGCCCCCACAATCAGTATTTTTACAAGCCACTCAGGAGATGCTGTGGCAGCCACTTTAGACCATTGTTTAGGAAGAGGAAGCTCTGGATTCACATCTTTACTGATAAGTGATTAACAGCCTAGAAATGCCAAGAGACGCAATGCTAAGAACCTGTCCTTCCTCAGCCCCTCTCCCAGCTTCGGGTACATCTGAATGCATCCAAGGTGTGAAGGGACAGGTAAGGAGATCCCTCCTTAAGCTCCCCCTAGCTGGGGAGGTGATGTCCTTCAGAAGGATAAAGCAGGAGCCCTCTGAAGTTGCACCCTCTGGGGTGACTGTGTGGCCCAGCTTCCACCCTTGAGGGCTCTGCCCCCATGGCAATTCATGCCCTCCATACAATGAGGGGGGCCTAATCCAGTGCAAGGCCAGGTGCTGGGCCAGGGAGAAAGGACAGAGGAAGCCCCTACTAAGCCTCTCTGAGTAAGTCTCAGTGAATACTCACAACCATCCTATTAGGGTTCTATTATTATCCCATTTTACAGGTGAAGAAACTGAGGTCCTGAGAGGCACAGTGGCTCTCTCGGGTCATCCAGTTGGTAGGCAGCAATGCCCATAGTCCATAGCTTCTGACCCAAGACCAGTATTCTCAGCATCCCACCATGGCCTGAGACGGTGGTCACCATTCTGACTGCAGGAGATGACAACAAACTAGATGCTCCCCTCCAAGGAAGACAGCCCAGTAGGCTCAGAGATAGCCAAGAGAGGAGAAAGGAGGCCTATGGGTTCTAATCCCAGTGGAGCTTAGAAGGATAGCATCTACATCACCCCACTCTGCCAAGTCCCAGCCACCAAGCCAAGAGGAAAATTTTGCTGATGTGGTGTACCTCCCCACATCCGGCCACGGACCAGGGGAACAGATCGAGCTCGCAGACCTAAAGTGCTAGATGAAAGCCCATTAATAAACCTTCTGGCAAGGCCCAACCTTATGTTCAAGGGTGCGCCATTCATAAATCTCTGCAGCGTGGTGCTCAAGCCTCTGCATCACAGCCTGCGGGAAGGGGAGGACCTGAGCAGCCTGCAGAGGAGGCCTAGAGAGGAGCCCCAGGACAGTGTTGAACCCTCCGAGGGTCCTTAGAGCCTGTCCACACCTAAGTGCTTCTCTCCAGACTCAGCAGCAGCAGGAACTGTGGAGGACACCTGGGCTATTCTTATCCAGGGCCCCCAGGTATTTTACACCTGGGAAGTTTCACAGCTCGGGGTTGAGAAATATCCCTGCCTGGAGCTCTGGAACCTCTGGCAGGTGCCAGGCTGGTCTTTTCATCTAGAAAATGGACCAGGTGACAGCCAAGATCCTTGCAACTCCACTATTTTAGGATGCCCATGAAATCCTAATTGTGAGACTCAGTTTCTCTTTTGGAAGGCTAAGGAACAAACATATATGGAATAACCACTGTGATTCAGGTACCCTACACACTCCACCTCAGTGAATCCCTCAATAACCAGCAAGATAAGTCTTGTCATGACTCCCATTTTGCAGAGGTGAAAACTGAGGTTCACAAAAGTAGAATTAACTTCCCCGTGGAGCTATTAAATAACAGACTTAACGGCTCACATCCTTTTGGAACGTGGCAGGATGGAAGTAAACAAAAGTAACACAGAGGTATGATTCAAACTCAGGCTGCCGGGCCAGTAAAGCCCTTTGTTGTCTCCTAACTTCTTCTACACTCATAGTTCTCAACAGGAGCAATGTTGTCCCCCAGGTGACATTTGACATTTTACGTTGTCCCAGCTCGGGAGGAAGAGATGCTACTGGCATCTAGTGCATAGGGGCCAGGAATGCTGGTAAGCATCCTACAGTGCACAGGACAGCCCCACCACAAAGAATTAATTGACCCAAAATGTCGATAGGGCCAAAGTGGACAAACCCTGCCCTAGAGCCCCTGTAGACCGAGCAGACTCGGCCCTGGGCTTCCTGCTGCGCAGCACCTCTCAGGAAGGGCCAGACAGCTGGGGCAGCAATCTCCAAGGTACCCTGTAGAATACTGGGTGGAAACAGCTGTTGTGGGGGATAGGGAATGGGGGTGGGGACTTGTTCAAACAACTTTGGGAAACAACAGATTCTGCGAAACCAAGATGTCTTTAGTGGAGGACTTCTCAGTGTGTTTATTTGTGTGACAGTCAGTTCTAGATGTCAACTTTATTTGTTTGTTTGTTTATTTTAGAGACAGGGTCTCGCCCTGTCACCCAGACTGGAGGCCTCAAACTCCTGGCCTCAAGCAATCCTCCTGCCTCTGCCTCCCAAAGTGCTCAGATTACAGCTGTGACCACCTCACCCAGCTAGATGTCAACTATAAACACAAATCTAGGTGTTGTCATGAAGGTATTTTGTACATGTGATTAAAATTCATAATCAGTTGACTTTACATAAGGGAGATTATCCTAGATAATCTGTCCCCCAGAGGGACTAAGAAGCCTTATCTTATTAGACACAGCTAATAAGCCCCAGTCCCCTGGGAAGGGTGACTTTACATAAGCGAGATTATCCTGGATCATCTGGGTTGGTTTGATTTAATCAGTCTGAAGGCCTTAGGAGCAGAGCTGAGGTTTCCCTGAAGAAGAAATTCTGCCTTCAGACAGCAGCTTCACCCCATGGTCTAGAATTCCAGCCTGACCTTGGGACTTCAGACTTGCCTGGCCAGCCCCCACAATTACATAAACCAATTCCTTGCAATAAATCTCTTAATATGTATTTCCTACTGTTTCTGTGGCTCTAGCTGATCTCTGCCTGATACAGTCTGAATCGTGACCTCCAAGAGTGGAGTATAGATAAGTTTATGACAATTCCCGAACTGATTTGGCCAGTGGGACTTTGAATTTGAGGAGCATCTCACAGGATTCACGTTCAGCAGATGCTTGCTTTCTCTCTCTCTCCAGCAAATACCGATGTAGGCAGACTGAGCAAGTCAATCGTAAAGGAACTTTAGCCCAGCTTTGGAGCCTCATGTCAGGAGTGCAACCATGTGCTCCCACTGTGGGCAGAGGGCCCTCAGTACTACCGTGTTGTCTGACAGTTACACAGTCTTGGATACTCACAAAACACACTCCTCGTATCAGTGCTGGGGTCATGCAGGACTCACTATGGTTGACACCTCTTGTGCCCAGACCTCTGCTCTTGGCCGCTGTCCTAGTCTGTAAAGCAGAGCTAATAAGCCCCAGCCCCTGGAGAAGGGTGTAACGACAAAACAAGATTTATGCAAAGTACCTGGCACACAATGGGTGTTCACCCAGTGCCAACGCCCTCCTCTCTCCTCCCCTTTGACGACAAGCTGTGCTAAAACAGGCCTCCTACTATATAAGGAATAAGCAATGTTTTAAAACCACTCAAAATGTTCAACTGTTGCCAAAAGATGCTACGGAGCTCTCCCTAAGCCCGTGGCCCACCCTAAATGTAACAGGCCCATGTTTACAAACCCAAATCCATGCATCTCAGAGGCTCCCACACATATCCTAGCTGTCCCTCCTCAGAACTCCGTTTGGACAGTCTCTGGCAGCATCACCGGCAGCTGCTGCCTCTCTGGGTGTTCCTGCCACTCAGCCTGGGCCCCCGGCAGCTACTCATGTGTGGGAGAGCAAGACGGAATCAGAAGACCCTTCTGCCACCTGAAGACCGCCAGGGCTCCTGGCTGGAGAGTTCAGGCCAGGGCTCTGGAACCAAGATGTAAGAAACTCCAGCAGCTAAGAGCTGGGGAGCTGAGCATAAGCCATAGCTCTGGCCCCGTCTTTATCTTTCTGTCCTTCACTCTTGTTCTGTGTGCACTCAGACTCACACAGCCGGCCTCTCATCTTCCTACAACTCAGATATCCTGAAACAATCCAATCACACTGAACACAGCCCAGAACCAGGAAGGAACACAGGCTCCTTGACTGGACAGAACATAGGCAGGGCTGATGCTCTAAAGCTCACGCAGCTTGCACAAAGGAGAGCAACACAGCCCTCGCTTGGACCCTATTTATCCTTCCTTACAGCACTGGTTCTCAAACTTTAGGGACATCTGAATCACCAGGACAGCTTGTTAAATACATGGTCCCACCCCCAGAGTTTCTGATTCAGCAGGTCCGGGACGGGGCCCAAGAACTGGCATTTCTGACAAGTTCCCAGGTGGAGCTGCTGCTGCTGGGGTAGGGGCTGCACTTTACAGAGCGCTGCTTTACAGCTTGGATAAGCCAAGCCAACTGAGTCAGTACCTGATTAGAATGGAATCGCTGAGCCTGTGAGTGTTGGGGGCGGGGCAGATGCTGATAGTGGTGAGGCCTGCCAATGCCAGGCTTACTGACAGCTGCAGGAAGTGACAGTTGACAGCCCGAGAGCACAGAAAGAGACAGCAAACTATAAAAAGCAGACATAAGAACTCAAAAAGCAAAGCAGTCTGAAGCCATCTCAGTGCAATAAAATTATTACATACCCCCAAATAAATCCTGAGGAAGCCCTCTCTCTAAGCATCCTACTGGCATGTCAGTCATAGCGAAAGACCCTGAAATATGACGAAAGCGATACTTACGCTGCTTAGGAGGGCAGGGAAATATATAATTAATTTTCTAAAAATCAACATCTAATTTGTTGGCAATAAAATCTTCTGGGTGTTTAATGGATGATAAACTTGGCAATATGGAAGTTTTTTCTCTGTGGACTAATTTATTTACTCAGTTACCTAGAATTTTACTTCGTGTGTACATCTGTCGCGTGCACCTGTGTGTACATGTGCACCCACATGTACACACAAGTATATATTTTGTATAAATGCATTCACTACCACTAATTATTGCTACCCATTCTCAGGTCTCATCTTAAGCACTCTTTAATCCTTAATCATTCTGGCCAAGTTAGGTCCCCAACTGAAGCTCTTTTAGATGGACTATTGCATCTTTAATTGCTCCAACTCTGTCTTCCTCGCCACACTGTGAGGAAATAGGGTCATGACTGCCTGTTTTCCAGCCATTTCCCTAATAGAGTAGAACATAGTAGGTGCTCAGTACATAGATGTGACTGCAGGATTATTCACATACTTGCTGATTTCATGCACTCACCCCCCCCACCCCGCCCCCAACACACACACACGATCTCCATTACAAAGACAAAGAAAATGTAGGTCGAGGAGCATAAGTGCATGCTTGGAGGCAGCCCCACTCTGCAAGCTAGTGTAAGTTGTGCTTATTCCTGTTAGCAAAGGATCTCAGCAGTCCTCTGGAGACAACACGGTCTCTCTCAGCTCCTGGTTTTCATCAGGATTTGCATATTCTGGGCAAGGCGGGGACATGAAGGAGGGTGCACACTCAATTAGATCCTTCCTCTCCAAGTCTCCACCCCTTGACTGTTCCTAATGAAGCCATCTTGTATCCCTCCGTCCCTCACACCCACCACCAATACACACACCCTCTTCATTTTCTCACCAGACTCATCACCCTGAGAAGGTCGGGGCGCTGCACTCTGCCCAGAACACCAGCAGATCGAAAATGAAGCACAAAACCGACTTAAGAAGAGAAAACCGTATTTTCCATAATTGATTCATCTGCCTGTAAATAAAGAGCATTAATGAGAATCAGCCTGAGCTAATCATTAGCAGGAACCCCCTGTGGGCTAGTGGGGGAAGGTGGGGAGAATCGGCTCCTGCCTCACATAGCTGATTGCATTAGTCAAGCAGGATTCAAGGACATTGGAAGACTCCCTGCCACACTCCCCTACCTGATGACCCCATCTTCCTCCCTCTCTGCTCCACTGCAGCCGGTAAGTATATGAATCCACTCCTTGAGAACTCAGCAGAACTTCCTAAGCCCGTGAAGAGCCCCACTAATATAGATGTGCAAGTGTGGAATAATTGAATAGCTGTTGTCACCCATGAAGGTAGCTTTCCTCATTTCTCTTTGGTCCAGATTAAAATGGACTATGATTCTCCCCAAAACTTCCATCCAGAGGTTTTTTTCAAAGGAGAATACAACTTTCTGAGGCAGTCATTTTTCTCATTTATCACTAATATTCCAAAGGCACATTTCCCAGACAGACTTCTTCTCCCTTATCTAAATCAGGATACACTAGATTATGCTGTGGTAACAAACTTCCCAAAATCTCTTGGACTTTCAGTGAAAAAGGATTATTCCCACTCAAGCTGAATATCTGTCATGGGTCAATTATGGTTCTGCCCCAAGAACAGAGCTGAAGGAGCAGCCTCCACAAGAGATGGCTGCCATCACAGCAGAAGAAAAGTGAATATGGCCAAAGCACACGCTGCTTTTACAGCTTTACTGGCTAAAGCAAGTCACATGGTCATGCTTCAGTTCAAAAGGATGGGGACATATAATCCTCCCCTAGGAAAGAGAACTACAGAGAAAAACACCAAATTTGAGTGAATATAATTGACCATAATCCTGGACTTCTCAGACTTTCACTGTCCTTATAAAACATTTATAAAGTCATTACCAACACCCTTCGTCTCGTTGTCACCTCAGTACCGTCATTCTCCATCACCACCACCACTTTCACCAACCTCATCACAACTCCATCGGCATCCTCATCAACGACACGATGTCATCCTTACCACCTGTCTTTACCCGGGTTTCCTGGAGGAGAGAGCCTGCCCAGGGGAGAGGCTCACAGGCTAACGCTTTATTGGAAAACGTTTATCAAGGGAAAAAGAGACTGAGGCAGGGAAAGAGGAAGAGAAAATAAAAGTGAGATGTTTAACAAAAAGGGGCTGTTTCAGAGCAAGTGCAACTGATTGTTCAGTCCTTCAGATCATCTTCTGATCTCAACAGTTCATCTGTTCCCTCTCTTAATAGTTCATTCATGAAGAGAAATGGAAAAATTATTATTTGCTGCCTCTTTACTGGTCCCAGCTCCCACTGATCAAAGTCGACTCTATAAAGTATGTACTCCACTGCTCTTCTATGACATGTCATTTGGTCTCTTCAAGCAACCTCAAGAGAAGCCCAAATTTCTGGGAGTCCAGGGCTCTGGCATAGCTTCCAATCTGGCCTGGTTATACAATACTACCTGCTAGGATCCTCCATCTGTAGCAGTGCTAACAGCAGTGACAACAGTCTGGCTTTAGTGCTGTGGGAACAATAGTGTGAGCTCTTGCTAAGGCTGCTCAACTGGAAAGCAAGGCAAGTGACCAAGACTGAGATAGAAGAATATGTGGCCACATGGACTTGGGGTGGCACACAAATTGAATCCAGTACAGTCCACCCCTTGGGCCTTTCACATCTACCCATAGCCATCTGTAATATATGGATCTCATATCAGAGAAAGACACCTTCCATTCCTCTCCAAGAGGGGAGATGCAAATCCAAGTATTCAAGGTGTTGTCATATGCATTCTCCTAAAAAGACTTAAAGAAGGTGGCTTTGTTCATTTTCTGTTGTTAGGACACTATAGACCAGATAATTTATAAAGAAAAGAAGTTATTTAACTCACAGTTCTGGAGGCTGGAAAGTCCAAGATCAAGGCATCAGCATCTGGTGAGGACCTTCTAGGTATGTCATAACATGGTGGAGGACATCACATGGTGAGAGGGCAAGAGCATGTCCACTCTTTCTCAGGTCTCTCTTTCTCTTCTTATAAAGCTGCCAGTCCTATCATGGGGGCCCCACCCTTATGGCCTTATCTAATCCTAATTACCTCCTAGAGGTCCCACCTCCAAATACCATCAACATATGAATTTGGAGATTGTTTCTGACATGAAATTTGGGAGACATATTCAAACCATAGCAGAGGGCTAGCAAGCCAAACTTGTTACATCTGTACCACTGCAACTGGTTCTGGGGTTGTTTTAGCTGCCATTCATCCATGCCCTCATCCGGCATCCATTTTGACTGGTCTGTGTTGCTTCTCTAGTGGGAAGACCTAGATTTTCATTCCCAAGGGGTCTAAATCCTTGGTTTCCTTGACCTTGTAGAATCATCATTGTTAGAACAGCCCACCAGTAAAGCAGCAGCAAAATGTGCCCCCAGTGAATCTTCTCAGTTCCTAACATACACTTTCCTGTTCCCGTTATGTACCAGCAAACCAAGTTTCTCATAGTAATGAGTCAGTTATCCCCTACCCAGTAGTTCCTTTCTTTTCCTCTTGGCTTCACTGGCGTTAAGAGCCCAACATTGCCAAATGGTAGCTGCAATTTCTAGCTAATTGGGAACCTTACTGTGCTCCCTGAAAATCACAATTCCCTTCAATCAGTGAGCTCTGGAACTATGAACTGATATAAATCTGGAAATTAAGTGAAGGGCCATGATTTTCCACTCTTGTGGATGACATCAACTGCCCAAGTTGGCAGCTCTGACTTTTTCTGCATCTATTGAGTTGTTCCTATGGTTTTTCTCCTTTTTTCTGTTCATGTGATGAATTAATTGACTGACTTTCAAGACAATCTTGCTTCCTCGAAATAAGCCTCTTTTGGTCTTGATATATTATTCTTTGTATATATTGCTGGGCTGAATTTGCTAATATTTTCCTCAGGATTTGATATTTTTAATATTTGATTCTATATTCATGACAGATATTGGTAATTTATTTCTTTTTAATGTCTTTGTTCATGTTGATATAAACAAGCTGGGAAGTGTTCCTTCCTCTTCTGTTGTCTGAAAGTGTTTTTGTTAGACTGCTATATTTCTTTCTTAAATACCTGTTAGAGTTCACCAGTGAAGCCATCTGGACCTGGAGTTTTCTTTGTGGGAAGGTTTGTACATTTACACAGACAGTTACCATTTCTAGTGCTTTTCATTTCTTCCTAAAGATTTGAATTTCCATCTGATGTCAATTCCCTTCACCCTAAAAGGGTGCCCTGAGCATTTCAAGGTTTACTGACAGTGAATTCCATTTTCTTTTATTTGAGAATGTTTTTATTTCACCTTCATTCTTGAAGAATGTTTTCACTGGAGAAAGAATTCTGAATTGACCTTTTTTCTCAATCAGGTTATTACAGATGTTTTCCCACTATCTTCTGGCCTCTATGGTTACTGATGAGAAGTCAGTAGGAATCTGAATCATTGTCACTATGCATGTAGTGGATCATTTCTCTGTGCCTGCTATCAAGATTTTCTCCTTATCTTTGGTTTTTAGAATTTTGACTGTAATTTTCCTAAATGTGATTTCTTTGTATTTATCCTTGGGATTCACTGATCTTGAATCTGTGCATTTACTCCTCTGCCATTATATTTTCAAACTTTTTTTTTCTGCTCTCTTTTCTCTCCTTGTGGGATGCCAATTCCACCAATGTTAGACCTTTTGATGTTGTCCCACAGGTCCCTGATCTCTATTCTCCTTTTCATTCAATCATTTTTGTATCTCTACTTCAGATTACAGAATTTCTATTCATTTGTATTCAGGTTCACTAACTCTTTCTTTTGTCATCTGCATTTTCTTTGACTATTTTCTAATTCATTGATTTCTGCTGTTATCTTTAATATTTCCTTTTCTTTTTTATTTAATACATATATTTTTTGAGACAGGGTCTCTCTCTGTCACTCGAGCTGGAGTACAGTGGCATGCATGATCACAGCTCACTGCAGCCTCAACTTCCTGGGCTCAAGTGCTCCTCCAGCCTCAGCCTCCTGAGTAGCTGGGATTACAGGCATGTGCCATCGCACCTAGCTCTATTTCATTTTCACTTCTAAGTTTAGGTCTAGTTTATGCCTTTTCTAGTTTCTTAAGGTGGAAGCCAGAGCATTGATTTTAAATCTTTTTTTATTAGTATGATCATTTCAAGTGATGATGCTTTATCTTCATCCCAGAAATTTTATATGCTATGTTTTCAATATCATTTAGTTTAAAGTACTTTCTAATTTCCTTTATGATTTCTTTCATGACCTATGGGTTACTTAGAAGTATATTGTTTAATTTCCAAATATTTGGGAATTTTCCAAATATCCTACCATTATTTATTTCTAATTTAATTTCATCATGCTCAGAGAACATACTCTGTATTATTTCATTCTCTTAAAATTAATCTAGATTAGTTTTATGGCCAAGTATATGTTTTAGCATAGTGAACATTCCATATCCATTGGACAAGAATGTGAATGTATAATTCTACAGATGGTGGGTCTTTTCTATAATTGTCAGCTAGGTCAATTTAGTTCATAGCATTGTTCAGGTTTTCTTTATACTTACTGATATTTTATTTACTGGTTCTAAGAATTACTGTTGAAATAATATTAAAATCTCCAACTATAACTGTAGATTTTTCATTTTCTCCCTTTAGTTCCTGTCTTAGTCTGTTTTCTGTTGCTATAACTGAATACCTGGGACTGGTATTTGTAAAGAAAAGGAATTTATTTCTTACAGTTCTGAAGGCTGAGATGTCCAAGGTCAAGGTGGGGCACATCTGGTGAGGGCCTTCTTGCTGGTGGGGACTCTCTGCAGAGTCTAGGCTGGCACAGGGCATCACATGGCAATGGGGCTAAGCCATGCTAGCTCAGGTCTCTCCTTCTGCTCCTATAAAGCCACTAATGGCCCACCATCTTGACCTTATCTAATCCTAATTGCCTCCCAAAGTTCTCACTTCTCAAATACCATAGTCAGATTTCCCACCTTCTTAGTATTGTTACAGTGGGGATAAAGTTTCAACCTGAGTTTTGGAGGAGACAAGCATTCAGACCATAGCAGTTCCATCAATTTTTGCTTCATGTATTTTTGCAGATTGTTATTAGATGCATAAGCATTTAGAATTGCTATATCTTCTTGTTAAATTGGTCCTTTTATTGTTACAAAATGACTCTCTTTTTCTCTGTAGTACCCTTTAATTTGTCTAATGTTAATTTATTCATATCAGTCTTGTTATACTAAATGTTTACAATTTATATATTTTTCCATCCTTTTACCTTCAATCTGTCTATGTCTTCAGATTTAAGGGGGTTTCCTGTAGATGGCATATAGTTGGGTCTTGTTTTTTTTTTTTTTGTTCCTCTGGTGATCTCTATCTTTTAATTGGAGTATTAATCCATGTACATTTAACAAATTTATTGATATGGTAGATTTAATTTTATCTTCTTGTTAGTTTTTGCTATTTGTGGCCTCTGCTTTTGCTTCTCTTTTCTTCCTTTCCGTACTCTCTTTTGAGTTAGTCAGATTTTTATAATATTCCATTCTATCTCCTCCATTGGCATTTAAGCCATTTATCTTGTTGCATTACTTTTCAGTGGTTTCCTTAGGACTACAATGCACTTCCTTAACATATCACAGTCTACCTTGAATTATGCTCTTTCATATATTAAAAACTTTTTAAGAGCAAAATTCCATTTACCCCTCCCAAACTTGGTACTATTGTTGTCATATATTTTTCTACACACTTATTCTTTCCTGTCTATATATTTCCTTTCCTCTACAATTTATGTTGTTATTATTTTCACTTTAAAGAATTGTTTTTAGGGTGAGTGCAGTGCCTCACACCTGTAATCCCAATACTTTGGGACGCCAAGGGGGCCAGATCACTTGAGGTCAGGAGTTTGAGACCAGCTTGGCCAACATGGTGAAACCCTGTCTCTACTAAAAGTACAAAAATTAGCCAGGCATGGTGGCATGCACCTGTAATCCCAGCTACTCGGGAAGCTGAGGCAGGAGAATCGCTTGAACTCAGGAGATGGAGGTTGCAGTGAGCCAAGATCGCGCCACTGCACTCCAGCCTGGGCGACAAGAGCGAGACTACTCCATCTCAAAATAATAATAATAATAATTGTCTTTTAAACACTTCTTAAAATAATTTTATATTTTCCAACATTTTAACCACTTCCAGCACTCTTCATTCCCTCTTATAAATCCAAATTTCCACCTGGTATCATTTCCCCTTAACTTCAAGAACTTCCTTTAGCGTTTCATACAGTGCAGGTCTCTTAGCCTTCGTCTATCTGCTATCTTTATTTTTGCCTCCATTTTTTTTCATTTATTTTGTCTTCATTTTTGAAAAATTTTCCCACAGGATATGGAATTCTCAATTGACAGATTTTTTTTTTCTTTCTGATTTTAAATATGTCATCTCATTCTCTTCTGGAATGTTTTCACAAGAAGTCTGCTGTTATTCCTACCCTTATGCCCTGGATGCTGCCTTTGCAGACTTTTTATCTGACTGCCTTTAATATGTTTTCTCTAATCTATTGATTTTATTAGATTGACCATGTATGACTTTCTTAGTATTTATCTTCCTTGAGGTTTGCTCTACTTTTTCGATCTGTAAATTGTTGTTTTTGATAAAATTTGGAAAATTGTGGTCAGTATTTGTTCAACTATTTTCCCTACCCCATGCTCCTTGTATTTCCATCATCCTTGTATTTCTGGGACACCAGTTACATATATTCTATATTCCTTAGTATTCCTTTCAAAGGTTATTGGAACCCTATTCTTTTTTTCCCCATTTTTTTTCCTCTCTCTCTGTTTAAATAATTTACATCAACCGGTCTTCAAGTTCACTCATCTTCTTTTCTATTCTGTCCAATCTGCAGTTAACTTGATGCAATAAAACTTCTATTTTGTATATTCCATTTTTTAGTATTGGGATTTCCATTTGGTTCTGATTCATAGTTTTTATGTCTCTCCTGAAATTTGCCTTCTCCTCATCCATCATGTCCATCTTTTCCTGCAGACTTTTCAATGTATTCATCACAATTATTTTAAAGTCCTCACCTTCTAAAACTGCCACCTGGACCAGCTGTGAGTATGCTTCCATTG